>NC_000023.11:90038299-90341329 GCF_000001405.40 Homo sapiens
ACTGCAATTCATCCAGTCAAGTTAGTGGTTACAGTTCAGTACATGATTTTCAAGGCAACTAAGAAATCGGGACACAGATATTTCCCCTTCCTAGAGTTAACAATTCTTTTAAAAGCTCTGATGTATCCATAAAGGAGTGTTGATTTTTGTGGGGTTTTTTTCCCAAAAGGAAACAAAAAAGTTTTCATCCCTAAATTCACATACACAAGTTAAGTTAAGCTATAAGCTAGTTTTAGACTACCCAGTGAAATAGAATTGTTGGTACCATCTGAGGCAGGTGCTACCCTCCCTAGTCAGTTCAAAACATGATCCAGTAAAACAAATACACATTGGTATGCCTCAAACAACTATAAAGCATTTCATTTTTCTTCAAATATCATGTTTAATTAACTCCTAAGGTAACAGACTTCTAGAATGTTGTATTTTAATGGTGTATCGGAATCAATACTAGCAACAGAATGCAAAATTCAGAACTGCTATAAAAGTAAAATCATCATTAAAAAAAACTCAATCCTTATGTAAAAAGAGGGAGAACTGAGTGTGAAATACTAACACCAAATGTCTGAAGGCAGAATTTTTGTTTGTGGAAGACCAAGTGAAGAGATGGATGCACCTAATCAAGACCAAATGGAAGACAGTGAAGAGTATGAAAACTGTTTAAAAAGGAAAAAGAAAAATAAGAAGGAAAATGGAGAAGAGACAGGCAGGAAAAGAATTACTAGACAGAACAAAAATAAGAGAAAATGAGGCCTGTGCATATGGCTCTTTTTTGTCTGTCCTTTGTATTCCTAAATAACTTAAAATGTAAGTGGCATGTAGGCCACACTAGCAGGCAAGAATGAGCCTTGTGATGGATAGAGATGAAGGATCTTAGGCAAACAAATTGTTTTATTTTTTGTTTTTGCTTTTAATTCATACCTGAAAGCCTTGAATCCTTGCTAAATATTCCAGTTGTTTTGAAGGTTGTACTGGAGAACAAGGGGGAGTAGGAGAACTTCCTTTTAAACCTGTGGCTTCAGCTGTAGAAGATGTTCCATTCATAAGGAGTTCCCTGGCCATTGTAGCTGAACTATTTGATGTGGGATACATACTGAACAAAGAGCTTGAAGGTTGGTTCATATCTCTGGGTGACAAATAGCCTAGAGTAGTGCCAGAGGTTACTTTGTGGTGGCTGGCTTCCATCTCTTGATAAACATCAGGAGACAAATGAAGAATTCCTTTTGGAGTATTATTTGTTGGTTCAGGAAACCCAGGCGTTGGATCACTCCATCCTTTGTTTTCCCCTGTCTTCTCAAGTTGATCCTGAAGATTAATGGATGCTTTATAACCAAGTTGTAATAGCATTGCTACTGCAACACTTTTTTTTTTTTTTGGCCTTTTTATTAGGTCCCGTTCCTGTAGCAGCTTCATTGCCTACCTTCATATACATCACAAATTCTCGACATCGAGGCATTCCTCTTTCTGAAAGCAAAACATAATCTGGCTCCTTTTCCTTTTTGGCCTGTTGAATTTGCGCCAGGCAGCTAATAGGGTTCATCCCTTGGCCTATTCTGGTCCGGCCTTGACTATTGTTTTAGGGCGTTTTTTAAAAAATAATTTTGCCTTTTCCACCACAGGAAGAGGTGGAAGTTTTTTAAGCTCCTGTAAGACGGTGGTTGCAGCACGCTTCTTGGAGAGTTTTTTGCTATTTCCTTCTCCTTCTGTAGAGAACTTTCCTACTGACACTCGAGTAACAAAGCTTTTCATATGTGGTGGTCCACTTTCTTTAATAACCTCAGAACTAACAGGTATATTTCAGTTCAGAGCAATTTCAAACACTAAGCTGATCTCAGGCTTATTTGCATCTTTGTCATCATCTATATCCTTTCCTGATTCACCATTCTAAGGCGATCTTTCTGGAATAGGTTCAATCTGCAGTGCTTGGATGTCTTTCATTGCAGCATTGTGTCTGGCTTTCCTTCCCCCAAAAATTCATTATTTCCTACATGAGCTGAACATAAAAGATCTTAGGTATTGGGCAATGATACCTCTGATTATACATGACTTGAAAGTTGTAATTAGCTCTATTATTTGGGAATGGCTTTGGATCTAATGGCCTGTGGATGGCAGGCTCTGCCCCTTTTCATAGCAAGCCCATTCAGTTCCACAGTTGGTGTTATACAGCCTGGGTTATTGTTAACATTACTTTTGGGTGGCTTCTAAATAGGTTTGGGAAGCGTAGATTCAGTCAAAGCTTTATTACCGACAGCCTGTTGAGCCTTCTTTATACTGCTGCCTTCGGATTCCCATGTCTGCTCACCAAGACTCAGTTGCACTGAGAACATCTTTGAATGAGCAGGCCCTCTTTAATCCAGAAGTTTATACTGGGGTTGGACTCTATTGAAACGGGCTAACTCATTTACCAGATACATTGCAGTTTTCTCTTTTGGGTTTGCCAATTTTATCTTGGAGAGAAGCTGATTTATTTGAAGCATGTTAAGACAATATTGACCAAACTGCTGTGTCCCTCACGGCTCCAAAAACTTCTGAGCCTTGGTCAAATTACTTTGTGTATCTTTGAGTTCTTCTTTTTCTGTCTTCTTCTTCTTTATTTTTCTTCAATCTTTAAAAAGTAAGCTAAAGCCCTTGTCTCTCCACTACGCCTCCCGCCGGCCCGCGACCCAGCGCGGCCATTGTTCGCGACGCCTCTCCCGCCCCCTGGCGGCTGCGGGGGCCCCAACAGCAGCTGGCTCTGCGGGGCTAGCGGTGGCGAGCTGGGCCCCCAGGCGAGGGCCATTCCTGCGGGCCTTGGGAACGCCGGCGAGCTAGTGCGCAAAGAGCGGCCCCGCCTGCCTCCAAAGCTTTTTTTTTTTTTTTGCATCTATTGAGCTGATCATATGATTTTTGTTTTTGGTTCTGTTTGGGTGGTGAATCACATGTATTGATTTGCATATGTTAAACCAATCTAGCATCACAAGAATGGCGCCTCCTTGATTGTGGCGAAATCAACTTTGTGATGTGCTTCTGAATTACATTTGCTAGTATTTTGTTAAGAATTTTTGCATCTATGTTCATCAGAGATATTGGCATGTAGTTTGTTTTTTTTGTTGTGTTTTTGCCAGGTTTTAGTATCAGGGTGATACTGGCTTCACAGAATAAGTTAGGGAGATGTCCCTTATCCTCATCTTTTTAGAAGAGTTTCAATAGAATTGGTATCAACTCTTCTTTGTACATCTGGTAGAAATTAGCAGTGAATCTTTCTAGTCCGAGGCTTTTTCTGGTTGGTAGGTAGGTTTTTTTTTTTTTTTTTCTGATTCAATTTCAGAACTTGGTATTAGTTTGTTCAAGGTTTCAATTTCTTCCTGATTCAATATTAAGATGTTGTATGTTTTGAGGAAGTTATCAATTTTCTCTGGATTTTCTCCTAGTTTTTGTGCATATAAGTGTCCATAATAGTCCCTGAGATTCTTTTGTATTTCTGTGGGATCATTTGTAATATCACCTGTTTCATTTCTGATTGTGCTATTTGGATCCTCTCTCTCTTTTTCTTTGTTGATCTGGCTAGTAGTGTATTGATCTTGTTTATCTTTTCAAAAAACCAACTATTGTTTTGTTAATTATTTGTATGTATTTTGGAGTCTCATTTTGGTCAGTTTGCTAGCAGGGGCGAATATGTGACTTACCCTTGGCAAATTCATGTGGGTCTGCAGCAACCTCAATTCTTGCCTCCTCAGAAGAAAAAAATTTGACTGAGGGGTACAAGGCAGAAAAAGACTGAGGCAAGTTTCAGAGCACGGCAGAAGTTTATTAAAAAGCTTTAGAGTAGGAAATAAAGAAGAGACCCAAGTGGGTCCCTTAGAGGTCAAGTGCCCTGTTTCACCTTGAACATTGGATTTTATGTGCTGACCTACTTCTCGCATCTTGCACCCCTTTCCTTTCATTCTTCCCTTACGGTGACCCGCCCGCATATGTGGTGCCCTGGTTGCACTTGGGAAGTGAGTATGTGCAATGTATTTACTGGAATTGTATGCATGCTAACCTGAGGCTTTCTTCCCTTTTCCAGTGGTATGCCCCTGGAAGGTCGTACTGCACCATTTTGTCTCTTAATGCACATATTGAGCTCATTCACCCAATTCCTGAGATCTTATTGGAAGCTGCCAATTACCAATTTCAAGTGTATTTATCTGTTGGGAAACTGCCTCTTCCTGGTGTCGGCTGCAATCAATTACCATTTTAGAGAGGCAATGTGACAACGGCCAAACCATCCTCTGATGGTTGCCTGATCTTCCTACAGAGTGGGGGTCATAAACTTGGTTTATGACCAAGCATATGGTTGATCTTGGAGTATGTTTCATGTGCAGATGAGAAGAATGTATATCCTCTTGTTGATGGGCAGAGTATTCTGTAGATGTCTATCAGGTCCAGTTGGTCAAGTGTTGGGTTTAAGTCCAAAATTTCTTCTTAGTTTTCTGCCTAGAAAATCTGTCTACTGCTGTCAGTGAGGTGTTAACATCCCCCACTTGTTATTGTGTGTCTAAGTGTTTTCATAGGTCTAGAAGTACTTGTCTTATGAATCTGGGTGTTCAAATGTTAGATGCTTATATATTTAGGATAGTTTAGTCTTTTCGTTTATTTAAACCCCATGTAATTATATAATGATGTTCTTTTGTCTTTTTTTACTGTTGTTAGTTTAAAGTCTGTTTTATCTGATATAAGAGTAGTGACCCCTGCCCTTTTAAGTGTTCTATTCACACGATAGATCTTTCTCCAGCGCTTTACTTTGAGCCCATGGGTGTCATTTATGTGCAGGATGGGTCTCTTGAAGACATTAGGTGGATGTGTCTTTTTAAAAATCCAACTTGCAACTGTGTGTCTTTTAAATGGAGCACTTCAATCATTTACATTCAATGTTAATATTGATATGTTAGGTTTTGACCCTATCCTGAAGTTGTTAGCTGCTTGCTTTGTAGTTTCAGTTATGTAGTTGCTTTATATGGTATTTTCCTCTCAGTGTCTCCAGGCATTTCCACAAGTTACCTCCAGGGCTTGGGAGAAGCAAAATGCTTTCCCTCAGCCTTGACTGCTCAAATTCTGCAGTGGAAAGAGGAGTCACAGAGAGGTTCTCTGCCTCTCTTATGTACTGGGGCATAAATAGGCATCTAATAAATGTCACTGAATGGAGATTTCCAAGTCAGAAAGTCATGAAAAAGTATACTACCTCAGTGTTAAGTAAAATAAGAGAGAATCAGTAAAAAATAGCTCTCTGTCCTGAGTTGATAAAATTTGAACAGAATTATTTCTACCACTTGGGAGTTATGATTAATATTCTTTAATATTTTCTAATGTTTACTCTCTTTGTCAATTCTCATCTTCTAGATTTACTGATTTTTTACTGTGTACCCCCACACTCAAATGTGCAAACATACACACATGCGTGAACCATAAATATGTAAGCATGTATTCACACACAAATATATTTTCTCTATTTCACTATTTATTTTATTAAAGCCTATTTAAAAATATTCCATCATATAATCCCAAATAACAGATGATATTATGTATATGCAATTTAAGCTAATAATGAATAACTTTCATAGGATGATAAGAAAGTATAGAATGAAATTAAATTAATGTTTCAAAATTGAAATCTGGTGACATTCGATGCAAATTTATTTGTTTCCAGTGAACAGAAGAAAACGTTCAGTAATGAAAAATACAATTTTATGCTACAGTGTATCAATAATAAGAATTGAAGAGTTTCAGCTGGTCAACTAGGACTCACCTTAAACCTCTGAACATGAAAATTTTGCTTCAGGAAATATGGAGATGATCTCATCTTTAAATCAAAAGCAATCACGGATTTCTATTACGTTGTAGTCCCTATTAATACAAACTAATGTGAGGAAATAAGCAAATTTGAGATAAGGTGTAAGATTCAATTTTATGAATACTGACATGTTTTTTTGAATAGTCTGACTTTTCACACTCCGTGGTTGAATATGAAGATAAGTATAAAACATCATTGAATAGGGACTTAAATTTAATTACTTATTTATAAGCCTGTGATAAATGCAATTAGCTTCACACAAGGTTTTTTTAACAGATATATTTATATGTAAATATATATAATCCATAAATATATATAATATATAAATATATATATAATCTATTCCATTTTTTTGCAAAGTGGAATGCCAGTTTAGTTTTCCAAACCTGTTGAGAATCACATTGGACCTCTTATAACAAGTGTGCAATTTCAAGTACCTCTGTATTTGTATTATAATAACATTTTACTAAAAAGATTACTTATAGTCAACACCTAGCATTCATATTGTAGAGATGAAAAGGTGCTTTATCTTCCTTTCCCATTGCCATAACCATTATCAGGTTTATAGCTGATATATAACAAAAGACAGATTAACAATGGAAAACAAAACAAATTCATTACATGACATGGGAGCCTTCAGAAATGAAAAGCCAAAGACCTAGGAAAAAGTGTGTTTTCATGCTAAGTCTGAGGAAAGAAGTAGATAGTTGTGGAGACAAATAATTGGACACAAAAGGTATAATCTAATGGTAATAAACTGAGGAGGAAACCCAGCAAGGCCTATTTGTTCAGTTTCTTCTTGGCCTCTCTGTTAAGCATTCATTTCCTCTGGATATACAGCAGGACAACTGTCACATAAGGATCTTATGACATATTTCAGAGGGCAATTTTCCTAAGTTTCATGGTTTCCGTTTGGGGAGAATTAGGGGCGGGAGACAGGAAGGTGGGATAAGGTCAGAGAGACTTTCTAGCTTCTGAGTCACTGCTATCTCCTTCAACTCAAAAATACTTAGCATGCCAAGGTACCATACTTTAAGGCATGGTGCCTGAGCCCTGATAATATACTTACTTACATAGTACAAAGCAAAAGAACAATCATTATACCCATTGTAGTAGACAGAACACAAACAATTTTTTTTTTTTTTTTTTTTTGAGACGGAGTCTCGCTCTGTCACCCAGGCTGGAGTGCAATGGCATGGTCTCCGCTCACTGCCAGCTCTGCCTCCTGGGTTCACACCATTCTCCTGCCTCAACCTCCTGAGTAGCTGGGACTACACGTGCCCGCTACCACGCCGGCTAATTTTAGTAGAGACAGGGTTTCACCGTGTTAGCCAAGATGGTTTCGATCTCCTGACCTCGTGATCTGCCTGCCTTGGCCTCCCAAAGTGTTAGGATTACGGGCGTGAGCCACGGTGCCTGGTCAAGAACTTTTTGAGACGGAGTCTCCCTCTGTCGTCCAGGCTGGAGTGCAATGGCATGATCTCGGCTCACTGCAACCTCCACCTCCTGGGTTCAACAGATTCTCCTGCCTCAGCCTCCTGAGTAGCTGGGACTACAGGCACGCACAACCACGCTTGGCTAAATTTTGTATTTTTAGTAGAGATGGGGTTTCACCATGTTGGCTAGGCTGGTCTTGAACTCCTGACCTCAGGTGATCCACTCACCTCGGCCTCCCAAAGTGCTGGGATTACAAGCATGAGCCACTGCACCCGCCCAGAACAAGAATTATTGCCTCTATTTTATAGATAAAAACAACTGAAGCATCACAGTTTTTGTGACATCATAAAGATAACATAGCTAAAAGGGGTTTGTGATAGGTAGAATAATGGCCTTCTAAAGATATCCACATGCTAATTCCAGCAAACTGTGAATATTTTAGATTAGACGGCAAAAGAAAAATTAAGTTGCACATAGAATTGAGTTTGCTAATCAGCTGACCTAAAATAGGTTAATAAATGAATCCAAAATATTTCTCCACAAAATGTTGAAGATTGTTAAGTCAAAGATACTAAAAATGCAGGGGAACACTCTGCATCAGCCTCTATTAGTCTGATGGCAGGATGTAAATCCTTCATTACTGGAGACAGCACTTTTTTGTCAGCTCAGAGAAAGCACCAACCAGCAGGTGCCAGAGGAATCTGGAAAACAAATTTTACTATTTTCCCGGATTCCTCTGTTTTTCAAAAGCGAAACTTGCTCTCTCCGTTGTGTTATCATTATGCTAAGATTTATTGCTCTTTTTAAAAATACTATTTAAGCAAGACCCCTAAGCCACTGCCTTGAGAGAGATTCTTTTGAACTGAGTTTTTCCCAGATGATGGGTACAGCATGTGTCAATAAACTTGCTGTTTTTTCTCTTGTTAATCTGACTGTTATTTCCATGAGAGTGTCTCAACTAAGAATTTATGAGGGTTAAAAAACAACTTAATTTTTCCCTTCAGTCTCATGGCCACGAAGGGATTGAGAGAGACACTCTCCTCACTCCAGGGCCAATGGATGGAATTCTGAAACCTGACAAACATTGGCAGAAAAATCAGTGCTCCAGATCTCTATCTGCAGTGCTTGGTAGAAAGGGGAAGGTATTTTTTTTTTCTTTTCTATTTCTTTTTTCCAAATTCAAATAACAGGAGAAAATCATTTGCATAAAATTGCTTTTAGGTATAGTAACTCTGGTGTTTTTATTTTGGCTTATTGGTTCAAGTTGCTTTGGAATACATCAATTAGCTATATTTGAAATAAATCAATTTTTTAAAAGAAGCTCTGTTCCCAAGTTCCTGTAAATTCATCACGGTATTTACAAAAAGTACTTCAGTCTGACTGAAAAAGGCTTTTTTGTCCAGTGGAGATGTAAATCTTACCATGTCTTTTAAATGTTGACTTCCAGGTAATTAATCAGCATTCCAGCACAGATCAGATTTAAAACAGGGTTAAAGATCTTTAGATCCACCAGAACGTTTTTTTCCTCAGTGGATACCTTTAGCTCAAAAGAGAAATGTTTATGAGAATTAGTTTACATTGCTTGTTTTAAATTATTTGTATGTCTCTTGACTTTCTGTGGAATCTATTTGTAATCTTTTCTATTGGACAGCTTTTGATTTACTGTCTTACTGTTTGTCTCTTTTAATTTTCCATCTATGGAACACACAGTGTTGTTGGGGCTTTGTGTGAGAATGGTTAACTGAAACCCTAGAGAATATTTCACATTCTTTAAGCTATCATTGGAAATGGTCTGGATCTTGAAAGGGTTGCAGGCCTTGTTCCCTCTTTGAAGACCTTGGTTAAAGCTATAAAGGCATTTTTGGTTTTGTTCTCATGTGTGCTTATTTGCCTTGGTTTTGAGTCATTTTTTTCAGGCATACCATTCATTTAAAACCTTGGTTTATGCTTAGAGCATGATGAAAACATTGTGTTTTGTTTCTTCATTTTTTTCTCCTAAGCTAAATGGGACCATATACTCAAGAAGGAAAGAAACAATTTGTTAAAACATTTGAGAGACAATCAACTCTAATTCAAAGCAGGTAAATATTTTGATTTCCATCTTAGCTAGATATTTATTCCCTGATTTAAAAGAATAAATTGAAGCTAGTATAGTTAAATGGATGGGTCAGCCCTGGATATTGTTCAGATGGCAGCATGGTTTTTAGGGGAATTGAAAGCAATTGTTTTTTCTTACAAATGGAGTCATTACATAGACAAAAATACCCCTCTACAAACATTTTAAAGTCCGTGTATTTATTTCAAAATGTTTGCAAATACTTTTAAAGAAAATCAGGATATTGGAAATGGTACTGTTCACTTTTGAAAAAGGCAAAACAGTTAGTGATAACCCTAGACCTTCAATAGGCAAATATTCCCACTCTCACCCCAAAACTGTGTTAAGTTTATCCTAAATCTGTCTTCTTACTTAAGTTTGAACTTAGATTTCTTCATACATAATAAACTGTAACCTAACTGAATAGGTAAACACACTATAGCCTCCTCTTGTACCAATCTCATCGTTTCAGCCAATCACAAGTGGCCAACTGTTCAAACAATGTTCAAATTAGGCAAATGTCAAGCTATAACCGCTGTTTCTGTACCTATACTTCCATTTCCTATATGTCACTTTCCTTTTTCTAGCTATAAGTATTTTCCAGACATGTGGTAGCCCAGAGTCACTCTGAATCTATTCTTGTTCCAGGGGCTGTTCTAGTCACAAATCATTTTATACTCAAACTTTAAGATTAATTTGTCTAAAATTTTTCTTTTAAAAGGTAACATCAGGAGTGGGATGCAATGTAGAACTTCCAGTGAACCCTAGGAGCATCCAGTGACCAAGTGAGGTTTCTGCTGGGTCCATTGTGTCCATTGCTGTCTTGCAGCAACTGGAGATTGTGAGTAAATTCTCTCAAATTCTGAAGTTACACAGATTTGTTTTTGAAGTATTTGAGTTTGCTTGAGCAATTTTTTTTTTTTTTTGAGACTGAGTCTTGCTCAGTCACCCAGGCTGCAATGCAGTGGTGCTATCTCGGCTCACTGCAACCTTTGTCTCCCAAGTTCAAGCAATTCTCCCGTCTCAGCCTCACAAGTAACTGGGATTACAGGCACCCGCCATCATGCACGGCTAATTTTTGTATTTTTGTACAGATGGGGTTTCACCATGTTGGCCAGGCTGGTCTTGAACTCCTGACCTCAGGTGACCCACCCGCCTCAGACTCCCAAACTGCTGGGATTACAGGCGTGAGCCACAGCACCCAGCCTGAGCAATTTTTTTATACAGTCTGTGTTCAGAAGTCACAATGGAAATGACTAGGTCCAGGATAAAATTGGATCTGATAATTAACAGGATTAGATACAGCTAGATGCTTTGGATATCTGACAGTGGTAGACAGAAACTTGCAGTAAATGACAATATGATAGTGATATAAACTCCAGCTTTTGGAAATTTGCAGAATTTTTTTTTTGTTTTGTCCCTTTTGTTTTGATTCTTGTGAGCTTAGAGGAAAAAAAAAGTTGATCAAGAGGACTCCCTCTTCCATCTACACCTACATTTGCACTTACAAGTATTAGGCCCTAAAAGCAGCAAATGCTTACAAAAAAAGGCAAAATTATACTAACGATGATTTTAAATTACAACGAAATGTTCTAAATGAACAATGTTGCACTTTAAAAAAATGCATTTAATAATGAGACCTCCCAAATTAGTTTAACACCAGGGATGCTTACTGATGTGCAGAAGCTTCTAAAAAAATTTCAATATTTTACTGCCTTTTAAAAAAGACTCTTTATAAAAGGCAAATAAAACACTGAAGCAACTAATTGATAAGAAATAATGAATCCATAAGCCTTTGGATTAGTTTACTCTGAAGGTAAAAAGAAAGCTGGATAAGACGTTTATAAAAAGTAAGCTCTCGGGTAACGTAGGCTTGCTTTTATTCTTCAGAGCTATTCATGCTGAATCCACGCATACAGAATGCTTTCTTTGCCATATTAGTTAATGAGTTTCACTTTGAAATAAGTAATTTCAACTAAGAAACCAAAGCTAAGTTAAGAAGACTGCCTGTTGAATCATATCAGTCTCCAAAATGTACCTTAAAGGCATTTAGCTGACCATTTTGAAACCATGTTGTAAAATAAATGTGCACTTATAAAGGAAATATCAATTTGCAAAAGTGTATGCGTCTGCACCAGGAAGAAAGGGAGGACTGAGTCACTAGAAACTTCTAGCATTAGTTTTAATTTACATGACAAGTCTTACCTTTATTTAGGGTGTTTTTCCTTGCTATCTTGTCTTAGCTTATACCATCCTTCCTTGGTTTGAACAAATGACTGTACACTATATAGGCTTGAAATCTCAGCTCTGTGCTTTGGAGATATTAATTTTTACCTTGCTTTCCCTAAGAATCAGTTCATGATAAGAAGTGTAAATTTAAAGCTGGGCAGCAACTGGAGATTGTGAGTAAATCATCTCTCAAATTCTGAAGCTCCACAGATTTGTGTTTGAACTACCTGAGTTTGATTGTTTTTTGATACAATCTGTGTTCAGAAGTCACAACAGAAATTGGACTGGATCTATGATAGCACACACCTGTAGCCCCAGCTACTCAGGGGGCTGAGGCGGTACAGTCTATTGAGCCCAGAAGTTCAAGGCTACTATGTGCTATGATCATGCCTATGAATGGCCACTGCAGTCTAGCCTGGGTAACATAGCAAGACCTTGTCTCTTTTTTTAACAAAAGCTTCAGGCTGGGTGGGGTGGCTCATGCCTGTAATCTCAGCCCTTTGGGAGGCTGAGGCAGGCGGATCACTTGAGGTCAGGAGTTCGAGACCAGCCTGGCCAACATGGAGAAACCCTGTCTCTACTAAAAATATAAAAAACATCAGCCGGGCATGGTGACATGCCTGTAGTCCCAGCTTCTTGGGAGGCTGAGGCACGAGAATCACTTGAACCCGGGTGGCAGAGGTTGCAGTGAGCCGAGATTGCGCCACTGCACTCCAGCCTGGGCGACAGAGCAAGACTCTGTCTCAATTAAAAAAAAAAAGCGAAGTGTGAATTTATGGTTGCCTAGCTAACAATTGCTTAGGGCAATAAATACAGGGAATTGGAAAGTTGATAGTCTGAACGGGAAAAAAAATTTGAAAATTGGCAAATAAAAAAGCTTAATGACAGCTCTAAGATCTTCTGTCTATATGTCTATGTGCTATGCATATATGGTATTTCTACGTGATCTAAAACAATATTTGATAAATAGAGTTACGTTAAAGTAACTTAAATAAAGTTTTTTGGTAAAATAAAATAGGAATGTATTCAGAATTATCGGTATTAAATAAAATTTGACCTTTTTCCTGGGTCTACTTTTCAAACAGGCTTATATTGTCTATGATACACATTTAAAGTTTATAAAACTACTGCTTCTGTAATATTTTTTATACTTACTTGATTTGTTTATGAGCTTATGTATTTGGTTTTGAAACTTTAGATTCTGAGGCCTAGATAGGGGACCATGGTGAGGCCTGGGGACGTATGTGTGCCTACAGTACCTGTGCTATCAGCTGCAGTGCAGAGCCAAGCCCCAAAAGGCCCCATTCTCCCTGGCCCAGCTCTATCTCCTGGCCATACTGGGAGGATCAAATCCTCCAGTCATCCTTTTCACAATTCTTTCTACTGTCCTGAGCTTTACACCTGATGTGTAAACTTAGGGCCCAAATGTATCCTGCCCTTCACTGCTGTCCTTGGGTAGCAGGTGGGAACTTTGGACCCAAGATGACTGGAGAAGACATTAGGAAGTCTGCTATTGTCATAGCTTCAAAATTCTTTTTTGTAATTTAAATTCTGAAAGTCATGCTGTGTTAATTAAAGTAATAATAATAAAATCTCTAAGTCATTTCTAAGTAAGTTAAAATACTAAAAGAATTAATATTAGTTTAAGTGTATATACTTCAGTACCTTATTTTTGTATGGTGTAGGAAAATAAATATATATTTAGATCTATTAATAAACAAAAAATTGAGAAAGTATATCTTTCTGAAAAAGTATAAAATGGTTTTCATCTACAAATATTTATTTAAAAAAGTTCAAAGTTACTTACCTCCCATATGTTTTTACTGGGAATTAGGGTTACTAAGAGTTAAAACAGTATTTAATATATGTAAGTGAAACTACTGGATATAAAAGAAAGAATTCTGTATACAGAATGTATTAAAAAAGTAAGATATGTTCTTGATGAGTAAAGTTGCAAAGGCATGAAGATGTGTATTTGTCAAGAAAAATAATCTTGTTTAGTTTAGTAAATCATGCTGCTATAAAGACACATGCACACGTATGTTTATTGCTGCACTGTTCACAATAGCAAAGACTTGGAACCAACCCAAATGTCCAACAATGATGGACTGGATTAAGAAAATGTGGCACATATACACTATGGGATACTATGCAGCCATAAAAAATGATGAGTTCATGTCCTTTGTAGGGACATGGATGAAGCTGGAAACCATTATTCTCAGCACACTATCACAAGGCCAAAAAACCAAACACCGCATGTTCTCACTCATAGGTGGGAATTCAACAATGAGAACACTTGGACACAGGAAGGGGAACATCACACACCGGGGACTGTTGTGGGGTGGGGGTAGGGGGGAGGGATAGCATTAGGAGATATACCTAATGCTAAATGACGAGTTAATGGGTGCAGCACACTAACATGGCACATGTATACATATGTAACAAACCTGCACGTTGTGCACATGTACCCTAAAACTTAAAGTATAATAATAAAATTTAAAAAAAAAAGAAGTAATTTAAAGATTGTTTCAAAATGAAGAAAAGATTATGTAGCTAAAGCTAAATGGATACAAAAAGTTGGGGAAAGAAAAATGAATAGAAAATATTTTATAAGAGGTTATAAAAGGTTTATGAATATATTTTGTGGTCAAAAGGTAACAGATGTAACAGATTTGTTTATAAGGTTTTATTAAAATTAGCTTTAATATTGATAACACACTAATAAAGAAGTAAAATTTAGTTTTTCCATTTGAACAAGGATTTCATGTAATAATAATAAGAGACAGTAATTTTTTTTTATGTTTAAACTATAAGAAAAAAAGGGGAGAGGAGAAATTCTCTCTTATGTTGCCTTTATTAGATCTTTTATTGTTTGAAAAACTGAGTCTCCTCTCTATGAAAGAGTAAAGCTTTTGCTTTTAAAATCCTTTCAATTATTACTTTGGCAAAATAAATGGTTATTATTATTATTATCATATTTTAACTAAGTGTTTTAAACCTTTGTTGTATTTGACAAGCATTCAGAAATCAAATGTCAAAATGAAAAATAACTATTTTTGACCACAGGCTAACTTTGGGAGATTATGTAGGGCCCCTGAGGCATCAGAAGAGAGTGAACAAATAGGCCTACGTATATGTTAGTACATACACATACTAATGTATATACATACATATACTAATGGAAAATATATTCTTCCAAGAAATTATGAAATTATTTTAATCTACAAATACTTATATAAGACAGTTCAAAATTACTTACTTTCTAGGTTTTTTAAAAATAGGCATACACACACACACCGTGAGTGGGGCACTTTGTTCTCTTTGTAAAAGCAATTCAGTCAACTGAATTCCTTTCTTCTTAAATCCCTGCTAACTATATGTGCTCCGTCTGCTTCTCTTCTTGTTGGCATATTTTTTTGCCGAGAACTATGTAAAACTCAGAAGGGGGAGAATGGGACGGGGTGTGGAATAAAAAAGTATATATTGGGTAGAGCACATTATACAGTGATGAATTCTGAGATTTATGACAGATGCACTAAAATCTCAGAATTCACCACTATATAATTCATCCATGTAACCAAAAATGACTTGTACCCCAAAGCTATTGAAGTTTTTAAAATCCTAAAAGAAAACCTTGTTAGCCTTTGAGAAATCTAATACCTCTTCAAACTGGCTCCTCTAAGATTTGTTCCTCCATTCACTTTTGTCTATTTTTCCTTTTGTAACATTTGATAACACATGAAGAACCTGGAAGAGACTCCTAATGACCCTGGGGCCTCTTAAAGAACAAAAATTGGCACCAGTGAGCCCCTTTTATTGGATACCCCTATTTTCTTTATGAAGTCCCACAAGTTGTGATTAGACAAGTCCCTTTCAAATCTAAAGTTCTATTCTCTTTAACATTAATAAATATCCTTGATCTTTTTGGCTTTTACATATGTGTGCTATATGTTGTGTTTACCTGTATGTATATGTCTATACATGTGTTTGTATGTTTTTACATGGTACAAATTAAGTTACACATACACTATATTTCATAGTTTAAATAAATAATCCCAAATATTTTTCAAGTTCACATAACTTGAGTAAATCATTTGGTAAGTAAGACTAGTCTAATTTTGTTGGTTCGATAGACAGTTATGTTTTCTGTGTTACCAGCAAAATATACATGTATATAACTTTAATAAAAAATTTAACTTCAGATGATGACTAGATTTGTCTAATATTTTATGCAATTTTTAAAACCTAATGGTAAGTAATAAATAAATGTAAATGGGATTAAAGAGTTCACATAAACTTTTTAATAATAATTATGTTTACAATATACTTACTTAGATTTTTCAAATATTTTTAGTAACTACACCTTAGAGTTTTTCCTAAGCTAAACTAAATGATAGGTATTCATTGAATATCTAGTGGTCTAGATATTCCAAATAAGAAATAATGCTAAAACATTAAGTACTAAATATGAGTTTAAGTTTATATGTGTTTGTATATGCTAATTGCAGCACTGTTTACAATAGCAAAGACATGGAATCAAGCCAATGCCCATGAACAATAGACTGGATAAAGAAAATCTGATACATATACACCATGAAATACTGTGCAGCCATAAAAATAAATGAGATCATGTCCTTTAAAGGGTCATGGATGGAGCTGGAAGCCATTATCCTCAGCAAACTAACACAGGAACAGAAAACCAAACACCACATTTTCTCACTTATACATGGGAGCTGAATGATGATAACACATGGATTCATGGAAAACAACACACACTGGGGGCTGTTGGGGTGGGCGGGTATAGGGGGAGGGAGAGCATCAGGAAGAATAGCTAATAAATTCTGGGCTTGGCCGGGCGCGGTGGCTCACGCCTGTAATTTCAGCACTTTGGGAGGCTGAGGCGGGCAGTTCACGAGGTCAGGAGATCGAGACCATCCTGGCTAACATGGTGAAGCCCCATCTCTACTAAAAATACAAAAAAAAAAGCCAGTCATGGTGGCGGGCACCTGTAGTCCCAGCTACTCAGGAGGCTGAGGTAGGAGAATGGTTGAACCCGGGAGGCAGAGCTTGCAGTGAGCTGAGATTGTCCCACTGCACTCCAGCCTGGGCGACAGAGCGAGACTCTGTCTCAAAAAAAAAAAAAAAAAAATTCTGGGCTTAATACCTAGGTGATGGGTTGATCTGTTTACCTAGGTGATGGGTTGATCTGTGCAGCAAACCACAATGGCACACATTTACCTGTGGAAGAAACCTGCACGTCCTGCACATGTACACAGAACTTAAAATAAAAGTTGAAGAAAAGAAAGTTTGTATGCATTTGGCTTCTTATTTCAGAAAAAAAACAAAAGATATTTGAGTTTGTTAGCAAATGTGGCCTGTTCCACATTAAAAATTCATCTATAAATTGCCTATGTTTTTACAAACTCTGAGATATGTATTCATGAAATGGTACATAACAAAATTGCTTACTTCTTAGGTTTTTCACTGACAATAAGGGCTACTAAGATTTGAAATTATCGTCAACCGATATAATTAAAACTAATAGCTGATATTCGAGGGGTTCTCTAGAGGGACAGAACTAATAGGATATATGTATGTATGAAAGGCCATTTATTAAGGAGATTTGACTCACATGATCACAAGGTAAAGTCTCGTGATAGGTTGTCTGTAAGTTGAGCAAGGAAGCCAGTAGTTGATCAGTCCAATTCCTAAAACCTTGAAAGTAGGGAAGCTGACAGTGCAGCCTTCAATCAGTGGCCAAAGGCCCAAGAGCCTCTGGCAAACCACTGGTGTAAGTCCAAGAGTCTACAAGCTGAAGAACTTTTGAGTCTAATGTTCTAGGGCAGGAAGCATCCAGCACGGGAGAAAGATGAAGGCTGGAAGACTCAGCAAACCTGCTCTTCCATCTTCTGCCTGCTTTATTCTAGCCACGCTGATAGCTGATTAGATGTTGCCCATCCAGTTGGAGGATGGGTCTGCCTCTCCCAGTCAACTGACTCAAATGTTAATTTCCTTTGGCAACACCTACACAGACACATGCAAGAACAATACTTTGCATCCTTCAATCCCATCAAGTTGACACTCAATGTTAACTATCACACTATCTGTAACAAAAATGATTATTTATGCATAATGTATAAGAAAAATAAGATAAGATATGAGGATGTGGCTTTTGTTGAAAGAGAAGTAATTTTGTCTACTTTGGATGTTACTTAAAATTGTTTCATAATAAAATAATTTTGTAATGTTAAAATTGAATAGATAAAAAGTTATAAAGTGGTTTTAAAAGGTAAATCTGATTTTAAAAATTATGCGTGATCAAACTGAGTAAATAAATTTACTATAAGAGTTTTTAAAAATGAGCCTTAACATCACCAGCACAACTAAAATTTAAACAAGATTTTTATGTGATATTGATGAGGTAGTAAAATATTTTTTCTCCACTTACTGAGTAAACAGCAAAAATTTTAAAAAGAGGGGAAAGAGAAATAAATTGTGTGCCTCATGCTATCTTTTTTAGGTCTTTTGATTTTTTGGAAAACTGAGTCTCCTATCAAAGAGTACAGGATTTGCTTTTTGAAATTTTTTCATTATTATCTTGGCTAAATTAATTACAATTATTGTTTTATAGTGACCTGTAATCCTGTTTTGATTGAGTTTTTAAATATTTGACATATTTGGCAGGCTTTCCAAAATCAATTTTTAAATTCTACGATTGAGTCATTTTGACCTTAAACTAACTTTGGGATGCTTCAGAGGGCCCCTTATAACATCTAAAAAAAAAGAGATAATAAGTAAACTTATTGGATACAATAAATTATATGGGAAGCATTGTCAAATAAGAAATGATGTTTAACCTTCTTTGAGTTATATTTGTGTAGATATGTTATTATGCGTTTCTGATATGTCATGATATATGTTATCAGTCATATTTTGAGCCATTATTTTAGATTGTTTTAGTCCACACAAAATAACCTAATTTCCTTATCAATTGTGTTTTTAACCATAGTAATTTAAATCTTGTTTTCTACACTTAATTGCTTTATTTTGATGCTATTTTTTCTGAAAACTCTGGAAATCCTTCAGTGTAATGTCTTTTTCTTTTTTTTTCTAGAAAGGATTTTGCTCTGTTGCCTAGGCTTGAGTGCAGTATTTTAATCATACCTTACTGTAGCCTCAGCCTCTTAGATTCAAGGGTCCTCCTGCCTCAGCCTTATGAGCAGCTAGGACTACAGGTGTGTGCCACCACACCTCGCTATTTTACTTATATTTATTTATTTATTTTTGAAACAGAGTTACACTATTTTGCCTAAGCTGGTCTCAAACTCCTGGCCTCAAGTGATCCTACGGCCTCAGCCTCCCAAAATTTTGAGATTACAGGTGTGAGCCACCATGCCTGACCTTTGTGTTACGTCTTTAAGAACATTTTTGGAAATGATGAGAGAACTGTGACAAATACAGGTTTCTGAAAACATTGAGATTGTGTCATTGGACTGGGTAAAAGTTTCCAAAACTCTAATTTAAAAAAAAATTGGCCTCATAAAATTACTAACCTAACAGCAATTAAAAAAAATACATTAATTACATGGAACCCAACTGATGAAGGACTGAAGTATTTTTATAACTTTTCATTTGAAATATTGCTGATTCTTTTTAGCTTTTGTTTCCAAGAGTTAAGAAGACTTTCTTTTTTTCTCTTAAACTATCTATACCTCTTTAGTAATATTATAAATTATACATTTGTAAGCAAAAATAGGACATTTATTTACCTTTCTCTCTGCCTAATCTTTGCAGAATTCTAAAATTACTTGTGAGTATTCTTGTTTTTATGGGCAACATAATTATTTACATAAGTTCAATAAAAATCTGCTCCTATTGTAGCAAGACAATTGGAAACACAGGTGATATTGTCAAAGCTCTGACTGGGATTTCACATTTGGCGATCTGACTAGATTGCCTTAAAGAGCCAATGATAACTTTCAGGAGCCAATAAAATACTTGGGAAAACTGACTTGGTACCTTGTCTACATGGTTCTCTTACAGGGTTTGTAGCCTTCTGGTAAGTACAGAATATCGCTTTCTGACAGACCCATGAACATCATAATATTTGAGGGACTTTAAGAAGAATTCACCCAGGTAATACAGATAAAATCTGATGGTGAGTCTGTGGCTTGGTGTCCTAGCCTAAAGAGGCCTTTAAAAGTCTAATCTGAAATTCTTTACAAGAAGTTCCAGCAAAGCCAACTTAAAAAGAGTGTATACAGTCAATCACTCTTATTTCTGACTTTTATGCAAACAATTAGGCCAAATATGAGACTAAAACATACTTTGTAAATAAATCAGACTTACTGTGATTACCTTTGGTAGAAATGAGGAACTGGAGAGAGAAAAAGTATGTTTCAGAAAAATAGCTGCAGAGTACCTGTTATTAGATTCTAGCCTTCCTTATTTCTTTTTAAGACTTTTTTTAAACCTGCACAGAATCCTGAATTTTTAGATTCCTCCAGTATCTTTCTATGACTCTCTAGATTAATATTTTCAATTGTTCTTCCACCCCTTTGACTTGAAATCACTAGAAATTAAAACTGCACTTTCCCTGAAACCCTAAAGCTAGACGATTTGATATAAATTTTGGAGAAATCACCACAACAATTTATGGAAAGAAAGTTCATTGGAACACTTTATTCAAACTACAATCCAGGAAAATCTCTCAGAGTACCACTGCCTACCCACTACAATTGAAAATAGTCTGAGCTCAAATCTAAAATATTCTCAAATGACTGTCCTCCAGCCTCAGACTAGTTTGTAGACTGCTCCATGCATTAACTTTTTTCTATGGTTTCCAAAGAAATGCCTCATAAAATATCTATTTGCCGACACCATGTAGATACTAAACTTTGCTGAAAACCCACCTAAAATACCACCTCTTTTCATGAGAAGCCACTGTTCAACTAAATTGACTATTCTCAGGACTAAGAGACTGATGCAGTAAGATACGGAACAGTTTGCTTAAATTTGTTTATGTCCACTTGTTCCAACCTATGTTTTTCTTCCCTTTGCCAAGTTGCTTATCTTAAAATCTGTAACCCAAATCTATCCAAAGCTAACAACTTGACTTGTAATATGTCAAACTTTCTGAAAGTAAATTTTCAAAGAGGAGAGTTAAATAAATTAAAATGTTTCTTTCCAAAATATTGGGGACAGATTTTACTTTCTCACATTTTCCTGCCTTTTAAAGGACTGGAATTGCTCTCTTCCTTGTTTTGTAATGATAGTAAAATGTGTTGCTCTTTGTTAAAATACAATTGAAGCAATCCCTGTAAGCCACCGCCTTAAAACAGATACTTTTGATTTGAGGCCTATCCCACATAATGGGTACAGCACATGTCAATAAACATCTGCTTTGTTTTTCTTTTTAATCTGAATTGTTCCTATGAGAGTGTCTCAGCTAAAACTTTTTGAAAGTTGAAAGAATTTATATTTTATCCCCTTCAGTGAGTATCCTATATTATCCAGGTGGACCTAATATAATCACAAGGGTTTTCAAAAGTGTAAGAAGGAAAAATATAGTGAAAATACTAATACTAATGCATACACTTTAAAATGATAAATTTTATTCTACTTATATGTGAAATTTTTAAACACTAAAAAATATGCAAAAGATATAGGTAATAGGGTCAAAGTCAGAAAAGGCAATGTTACAATGGACAGAGTAATACAATGTGAAGCCTCAACTTTCACTTGCTGGCTTTGAAGATGGAGAAAGGGGCCATGAGCCAAGGAGTGTGGGAAGCCTTTAGTAGCTAGACAAAGCAAGGAAATGTTTTCCTTCTGAAGCCTCCAGAAAAGAATGCAACTCTGCCAACTCTTTGATTTTAGCCCAGGGACACTCATTTTGAACATCTGACACCCAAAACACTAAGATAATAAACTAATTTTGTCTTAAATCACTGAGTTTGTGGCAATTTGTTAGAACAGCAATCTAAAACTAATACAATGTGTAAGCAAACTTCTTAGTGAAGCACATTGCCTTTCAATAGAAAAAAAAAGGAAACAATTAATTGCTCTAAAACATTAAAAAAATCAAAACATTACTGTTTATATTTTGGTTCAGAGATGGAAATTCTGTCCAAATGATATTTTGACTCAAATGAAGATCTCGAAGATATTTTCTCCCCTTTGCCAAGTTGCTTATCTTAAAATCCGTAACCCAAATTTATCCAAAGCTAACAACTTGACTTTTAATATGTAAAACTTTCTGAAAATAAATTTTCAAAGAGGAGAGTTAAATAAATTAAAATGTTTCTTTCCAAAATATTGAGAATTGTTAAGCTAAAGACACTTAATATGGAGGGAAACATTCTGCCTCAGCTGTTTTCAAAGCAGACTGATGATACAGTTAGGCATTATTTTCCCATTCATAACTCATCTTGAATTATAATCCCCATAATTCCCATGTGTCAAGGGAGAGACCAGGTGGAGGTAGTTGGATCATGGAGGCACTTTTCCCCTTGCTGTTCTCAGGCTAGTGAGTGAGTTCTCACGAGATCTGACGGTTGTATAAGGCACTCTCCCCCCTTCGCTCCTCACTCTTCTCCTTCCTGCCACCTTGTTAAGAAAGTGCCTTGCCTCCCCGTCCGCCATGATTGTAAGTTTCCTGACGCCTCCCCAGCCATGCTGAACTGTGAGTCAGTTAAACCGCTTTCCTTTATAAGTTTCCCAGTCTTGGGGAGTTCTTTATAGCAGTATTAAAACAAACGAATACACCTGAGTTTTATAAAATGCCAAACACATACTTTTTTTTCCTTTTGTTTAAAAATCCTGTGTTTTTAAAAGAACACTTTGGAAAATTAAAGGTAAGCCCTACTTTGAAAAGATTGTAATTTGATAATAAATTTGTATAGCAAAAAAAATCTGAATTTTTAAAAATCTTGATGTTAAGCATGAGGGCTTAGAAAATTGACTTATAAATAATATTTAGACAAATATAAGGTTAGATTTGCTTTTAAATACTAAATATACTTATATTCTTTGAAAATATTGTAAAAACCGATCCAAAACATAATTGGTAGTGAGGATTTGCTGCTGAGAGGAGTTGAATTTTCATCATCCAAATGCAGTTGATTACAAGGAAAACTTATTTGAACATGAAATACTTAAAGTGTTAGAAGTCTTATCTGAATTTTTTAAATTGTCAAAATGAAAAATAAAGTAGGTTGCAACTTATGAAATTATTTACATGGATATAGAAAAGAACCATGGTGAAATCTGTTTAAGGTGGTATAGGTGATATTGTTTGAATTTACATCCCTGCCTAAATCTCATGTAGAATTATTATCTCTAGTGTTGGAGGTGGGGCCTGGTGGGAGGTGACTGGATCACGGGGATGGTCCTTCATGAATGGGTTTAGCACCATCTCCTTGGCGCTGTTCTTGTGATAGTGAGTGAGTGATTTATCACAAGATCTGGCTATTTAAAAGTGTATAGCACCTCTTCCTCCTTCTTCAGCAATGTGAGGTGCCTGCTTCTTCTTTGCCTTTCACCATGATTGAAATCTCTCTGAGGCCTCCCCAGAAGCAGATGCCTCCATGCTACCTGTACATCCTGCAGAACTGTGAACAAATTAAACTTCTTTTCTTGTAAATTATCCAGTCTTGGATATTTCTGTATAGTGTGTGAGAATGTACTAATACAATAGGGTTCATAAGGCCATCAATACTTTCCTATAATGTATTTGGAACAATTATAGCAGTTGTCATTTAGTCGCTCTTAATATAGATTAAAGTAACTATCATAATCAGTAGATATCCAGGGACTTCCTAAAGATATATCTTCTACATCTAATAATAAACAAATAATTGTGCTTTAGTCTCATTTCTATTACCCACATGGTTAATATTTACATGTTATTTAATAGAAGGATGCAAGTAATGACCGTGATTACACAGAAATTAGGTGTAATGCTAAAAACAATTATTATATACAAGACCTGAATTCTTTAAAATTGTCATGAAATCATGCACAAAGGCAAAACATCATAGTTCAACATTATTGCTAAATTAATTGTAATGGGAATCAAATAAAGTTGCTTATATTTATCAAATTTACCAAGTGAACATAGTACTAAGAAATGAGAAAATTCATGCTGTGCTTTCTCAGAGAACTGACATTCATAGACTTGATTTAACTAAGAACAAATGTACGTAATGGTGGAAAATTCATATAAGAAATGCTAAACATATTTGCTTTTACAAAATTGTATATCATTGAGTATCATTTTGTCAATGATTACCCGCATACAAGCTGATATTAGAGTGATTCATATGTCTTCAATAAAACAATAGTAGTAAAAGAACCAAATGCCACTAACTAGTGAATATGCTGACCTTTAAGGCTAAGACAACTTCCAGACATTTAATAGTGCATCAGAGTGCCCAGTGAAGGTGCTAAAAATAAAGAAATACTTATACTAAATCCATGCTCAACAAGAGGATTAATAATTTTTAAAAATTTTTTATTCTTATATACTGGCTTAATTTTGACATATTGTATTGGTTGTTGCCTTATTATACCTTTTGTGCCATCAACAGGAAGTCTAGGTAGGCAATCCGAATATGGAATTATATGGTATGAATTAAGATAAAATTTTTGGAAATAGAGACAAGGAGATGTGTGGGGGGAAGGGAGGGAGGGAGGGAGTGGGGGGAGAGAGACAGAGAGAACCTATAACAGGAAGGAAAGATGGACTCAAAAAGAGATGGAGTTATAATGTATATGAACATATATTTTATGTGCATGTATGTGCTAATCACTTACAAACATTATCTCCAATCCTGAACCCCATCCAAAACAAACAAGCAAAAATTCTGTACCACAGTTGGAGATGAGGCAACGAGAAAACAGAATATTAGAAAATTTCACAAATTCACTTGGAGCTATATCTAGGATTTGAATGTGGTCATTCAGTTTTCAAACCTTATAGGTTTTGCCATCTGGAAGTGCACACTAAAACAGACAATTTTGAAACAAATGCAAAATAGCCTTATTTGGCTGGGAAGAGAGCACTAAAACAGTAATAAAAACTAATACATTTAGTGACTATGGATTCAACTTGAGAAATGTACAGGAGGAAAAATAATTTCTTTCTCCACCTTTCATTAGTTCTTAGTTGAGACTCCCTATAACAAGAAACAGATTAACAAGAGAAAAACAGAATTTTAATAGCATGTATACCTCCTGTATAAATAAAAATAATCCAGAGAAACGAGTAAATTTTTAGAGTAGATGTCAAAGAGCTGTCTTAAACATCGGCTTAAATTATTATTGTTCTCTGAAACAAAGAATAAAGGGCATTGATTAAGACAAGGTGGTCAGGAAGAGCATTGTCATACAAGGATAGGATTGTTTTGCCTTCTCCATTGAATCAGAGTCTCCAGTGATTTAGTTTCCTTTCTCTTCCTGGTGCAGAAAGACCACCTTACAAATGGATATTTCCTTTATAGATTTAAAAGTCTCTTACAAAAAGATAACTTCTCTGAGTTTCTCATTAATCTGAAGTTTCTTAAAATAACAGCTCAAAATAATCATTATGTTAGCTAGGCATATTTGAGGTGGAATACTCTGGTCTCTTATAGTCATATTTTTGGTGGCATATCCTGAGCCTCATCAGAGACATTGTAAATTGCTGAAATATTTCACAGGAAATAGTGTGAAAGAGAAGCATCTTGTGTTTATCTACCTATGCAAGTTAAGTATTTTGTTGAGATTTAGTTGGCATAGACTTGAGACCTATCATAATAGAACCTACTAGTCTTCATAAAACAACAATCAATGATTTCTTTAACCCTTAAACTCAGATCACACTTTGAATATTACCACTAGAGAAGGAAAACCAGACCTTAAAATTCCACAAATAACCTGTAGCCAATATTTCTTACACATAAACAAGATTGATAAATTGAGAGGAATGCTTCAGACAAATAGTGCCCTATTCATAAATGATACTTCTCTGGAGTTATAAGACTTTATTTAAAAACAGCATTTATAATATTAAAAACTGTACAAAATTAACTACTAACAATTTGCTAGGTCAGTACTTTTTCAAAAGAAAATTAAAGTGATTACTTAAATACCTCATGGCATATTTATGTATTTTGACTTTCACCCCCCTAAGCTAAGTTTTATGTTATTCATCTGCTGCCATGAGAGATTGGTAAATATTAGCCCAAAATATCTGCACTTATTTTGTGACATCTTGTCAAATAATTATTATATAATTATTAATTTGTTTTTTATATATACTATATATTATAATGATTTTTTTATAAGGAAATAATAAACAGTTTTGAATTTTACTCTGTAACTTTTTTAAACTTGCCTCCTTAAAAACACGCTTTTCACAATTTTCAGTCAACCAAGTACTATTTCAGGATCGGGTATATTAATCGTATGTGACATATAATTTTGAGTATAATTTCTGAGGTGAATTAATGGATTGGTGGTATTTATTGTAGTTACAATCAATGAAATGATTGTAATTTAAAAATAAAAATAAAACATATGACTCAAAATAAGTGTGTCTTATTAACAACAACAAAACACCCTCTGCCTACCAAAAATGCCTAAGAATTCACTGAACACTGAGTTTCTCTTCTTACTAGGACTCTGTTACATTTAGAAGTCAATAGAAGACATTAGAAAAGTAAAGTGTTGAGAATATCATTGAAGCTGTGCTATACTAAGCATATCATTGTCATAAGACTTTCATATGAATTTATATGCTGTATTGTTTTGTTTCTGCATAACATTTCATTCCCATTAAATTGGGAAGTCATGTGACAGCCTATAATACATATATATTTTAAATTGGCATTAAATGAAAAATAAGGAATCCTAGATATTGAAGTACAAAGAAGTGACATAAGATTGGGATTTAAATTATAACACGAAAATATTTTTATATGGATTTATATATCCTCAATAAACTTCCTTCATTAGGGAAAAATACACACTGCTTTCTAGAAAAATTATTTTATTGGCCGGGTGCAGTGGCTCATGACTGTAATCCCAGCACTTTGGGAGGCTGAGGCGGGTGGATCACAAGGTCAGGAGATCGAGACCGTCCTGGCTAACACAGTGAAACCCCATCTCTACTAAAAATACAAAAAATTAGCCGGGTGTAGTAGCACGCACCTGTAGTCCCAGCTACTCGGGAGGCTGAGGCAGGAGAATCACTTGAACCCAGGAGGCGGAGGTTGCAGTGAGCAGAGATTGAGCCACTGCGCTCCAGCCTGGGTGACGGAGCAAGACTCATCTCAAAAAAAAAAAAAAAGAAAAATTATTTTACTATCTTTTCTCAGTTAAAATTCCATCAAATAATCCAAATCCATCTGTACCAACCAGTGTATGTGCCTAGACTATGTCTCTTACCATAACGAAACTATTCCAACATAACTCAATAATATGATTTATTTTTCACAAAGAATTCAAAATTATCTGTCTAATCCTTTTTTATTAACTCTCAATAATGAATTTCATAGTAGTTCTGAAAACAAGATGATTACCTAAATCTTCTGATAAAAAAATCGAACGTACTTAGTAAACCAGTTTCACAATGATAGTAAACTACATATTTATTCCCAGCTGTATTATTCTTTCAAATATAGGTACAGTATCAATTTCCTTATCTATGGAAGACGCATTTCAAGTCCCTAGCCTATGCTTCAAATCACAGATAGTATTGAACCCGATATGTACTATTTTTATTGCATTCAATCATATGTATGAAAAGTTAAATTTATAAATTTGGTACAATAAGAGATTGTTGGGAATCATAAATGGGTACCCCCAAATGTGACACTTTGACATGCTAAACTAAAGAAGCCTTAAGGTCTCTCTAAACTTCTCCAACCCCTCCTGTTTCTCAATTTTGTGTCTCTCCCAAAGCACAGGATGAAGTTTTTCTCTAAAGTTCTATTACCTGCCTAAAGTCTGGAAATGCCAAAGGAAGAAAAATAATAACTCTGGTCCCTTCCCTGAGTTTTTGTTCACTGAATTCATATTACTGGAAGAAAGATTAAAGTCTTTCAACACACGTGGACAGACTTATACCATTGTTGACAAAAAAAAAGCCAAATTATCTAAAATATTTAAAGAGGTTTATTCTGAGCTCATATGAATGGCCATGACCTGGGGAACTGTCTCAAGAGGTTCAGAGAAAGTGACCCTGAGGAGATTGGATTATATCTTGATTTTATACATTTTAGGGGAACAGAAGTTATAGGAAAAGACATAAATCACTAAATATAAGGTATACATTGATTTGACCTGGAATGATGGGACATCTCAAACAGAGGATTACAGCCCATAGGTGGATTTGAAGTTTTTCTGGTTAGCAATTGGTTGAAAGAGTTAAGCTTACCCTAAAGAGTTGAAGTCAGTAGAAAGAAGTGCTTTTGTTAAGAAAAGAGGGTTTGTGGAAGCCTAGGTTTTGTTATGTGGATGAAGCCTTTAAGTAAGTATCAAGTTTCAGAAAGAATAGATGGTTAGATATCTCTTTTTGGACATTAAAAGTTGTCAGATTCTTAGTTAAATTTCTCTTGAATCCAGAAAACTCCTAGAAAGGGAAAGAGATTCTCTACAGATGCAAATTTCCCACACGGAAGTTGGCTTTGCAGGGCCATTTCAAAATAAGTCAAAGAAATACATTTGGGGGTAAAATGTTTTCATTTCTTTCAAGGCCTGCTATTGGTCATGTGATGCTTGGAATTTGGTATCTTATTGCCAGAATTTGTTTTGTCAGTCTTATGATCTCTATTTTAATGTTAATTCATGTTAGTTGTGCCTGAACTCCAAAAGGGAGACAGTACAATAAGGTGTGTCAGACTTTTTTTCCTGTCATGGCCTGACATTTAGTTTTTCAGATTTCTTTGGGATCCTCTTGATCAAGAGGAGGTGTCCATTCAGTTGGTTGCAGGCCTTAGGATTTTATTTTTGGTTTACATCACAAACCATTGTCTGTTCTTTGGGCTCAGCAGACTTTCTCCCGGGCCATTGTTTGTTCTTCAAGCCCATAGAATTCCCTTAAAAATTATTTCCTCCCATCTAGAAGTATCCACACTTCCCCATCTCCCTTTCTCTAAAGAGGCAGGGCATGTAAGCATCTGTATCCCATTGGGATATTGGGTAATTTACTCTGTCATTTTTCCCCTTGCATGCTAATAAATTTGTATTCTATTTCTTCTATTAATCTGTCTTTTGTCAGTTAATTTTTTAGTGAAGCTTAAGAGGGCAAAGAACAAGTTTTTTTTTTAGCCCTTAGAAGATTAACAGTAACAATAAAAAAGAACAATTATATAATATACTGTAATAAAAGCTATGTGAATATGATTTCTCTATTATATTCAATTTTTCTTTTGTTTCAATATTCACTCGTCAAGGTTAGCATGCCCATTGAAAGACCAAGATGAATTAAATTTACCTTAATCAAAAGCAACAGTTACAAATGAAGTAGAAAGAGCAAAATACTGACTTGATCATTCCTCATTTGTTAATAGATGAAGAGCAATATAACCACTTACCTGCTTTTGTATATTATCAGAAGTGTAAGCTCAGTGAAATCACAGTGCCTTGTTCTTTTTTTTTTTTTTTTTAACACTTTTAGGTTCAGGGGTGCATGTGCAGATTTGCTATATAGGAAATTGGAGTGTTGCAGGGTTTGGTGTACAAATTATTTCCTCATCCAGGAAATAAAGTACTCTATAGATAGTGTTTCTATCCTCAGCCTCCTCCCACTCTTTACCCTCAAGTAGGCCCTGGTGTCTGTTGTTCCCTTCTTTGTGTCCATATGTACTCAATGTTTACCTACCACTTATAAGTGAGAATATGCATTATTTGGTTTTTTGTTTCTCTATTAGTTCATTTAGGATAATACACTCCAGCTCCATCAATGTTGCTGCAAAGGACGTGATCTAATTCTCTTTTATGGCTGCATCATATTTTATTGTATACATGTCCCATATTTTCTTTATCCAGTGTACCATTAATGGACATTTAGGTTGATTCTATGTCTTTTATTATTGTTAACAATGCTGCAATGAACATATGCACACATGTGCCTTTACAGTAAAACAACCTATATTCCTTTGGGTATATACTCAATAACTTGATTGCTAGGTCAAATGGTCATTGGTCATTCTGTTTTAAGTTCTTTGAGAAATCACCAAACTGCTTTCCGCAATGGCTGAACTAGTTCACATTCCCATATGCAGTGCATAAGCATTACCTTTTCTCCACAATCTCACTACCATCTGTCATTTCGTTACTTTTTAATAGTAGCCAATATGACTGATGAGAGATGGTATCTCATTATGCTTTTGATTAGCATTTCTCTAATGATTAGTGAGGTTGAGCATTTCTCATGAGCTTGTTGACTGCATGAATGTCTTCTTTTAAAGAGTGTCTGTTCAAGTCCTTTGCTCAATTTTAATGGGGTTGTTGGTTTTCTTCTTTTTGTAAGTTTAAATTTCTTATAGATGCGGGATATTAGACCTTTGTTGGATGAATAATTTACAAATATTTTTCCTATTATTAAGGTTATTTGTTTACTCTGTTGATAGTTTCTTTTGCTGTGCGGAAGCTCTTTAGTTTAATTAGGTCCCATTTGTCAATTTTTGTTTTTGTTGCAATTGCTTTGGGAGTCTTTGTCATGAAGTCTTTGCTGGGTCCTATGTACAGAATGGTATTTTCTAGATTATCTTCTAGGGTTTTTTTAGAGGTTTTGGTTTTACATTTATGTCTTTAATCAATCTTGAGTTGATTTTGTATATGGTATAAAGAAGGGGTTCATTTTCAATCTTCTACATGTAGCTAGTCAGTTATCCCAGCACCATTTATTGAATAGGGAGTCTTTTCCCCATTGTTTCTTTTTGTGGATTTTGTTAAAGATCAAATGGATGTAGGTGTGCAGCATTATTTCTGGGTTTTCTATTCTGTTCCATTGATCTATGTGGGGTTTTTGTGTACCTATACCATTTTTTTGTGTGTGTTACTGTAGCCTTATGGTATAGATTGAAGTTGAGTAATGTGATGCCTCCAGGCTTGTTCTTTTTGCTTAGGATTGCTGTGACTATTCAGGCTCTACATTGATTCCATATGAATTTTCAAATAGTTTATTCTAATTACATAAATAATTTCATTGGTAATTTCATAGGAATAGCATTGAATCTGTAATTTGCTTTGAGCAGTGTGGCCACTTGGACAATACTGATTCTTTCCATGCATTAGCATGGAATGCTTTTCTATTTGTTTGGGTCATATCTGATTTCTTTGAGCAGTGTTTTGTAATTCTCATGGTAGAGGTCTTTATTCTTTTTGGTTAGCTGTATTCCTGGGTATTTTATTCTTTTGTGGCTGTTGTGAATGGGATTGTGTTCTTTTCTTGATTTGACTCTCAGGTTTGATGTTGCTGGTATATAGGAATGCTACTGATTTTTTTTTTTTTTTTTTTTTTTTTTTTTTGAGACAGAGTTTCGCTCTTGTCCAGGCTGGAGTGCAATGTCATGATCTCGGCTTACTGCAACTTCCGTCTCCCGGGTTCAAGTGATTCTCCTGCCTCAGCCTCGCGAGTAGCTGGGATTACAGGCACCCACCACCACGCCCAGCTAATTTTTTGTATTTTTAGTAGAGACAGGCTTTCACCATGTTGGCCAGGCTGGTCTTGAACTCCTGTCCTCAGATGATCCGCCTGCCTTGGCCTCCCAAAGTGCTGGGATTACAGGCATAAGCCACCACACCCGACCCTGCTACTGATTTTTGTACATTGATTTTGTATCCTGAAACTTTGCTGAAGGTGTTTATCAGAAAAAGGAGCTTTTCAGCAAAGACTACAGGGTTGTCCAGGTATAGAATTATCTACGAACATAGATAGTTTGACTTTCTTTCTTCCTATTGGGATACCTTATATTCATTTGTTTTGCCTGATTGCTCTGGCCAGTACTTCCAGCAGTATGTTGAATAAAAGTGGTGAGAGAAGACATCCTTGTCTCGTTCTGGCTTCCAAGTGAAATGTTTCCAGCTTTTACCCATAAGTGTAAAGTTGGCTTTGGGTTTTTCATAGATGGATATGTTATTTTGAAGTATGTCCCTTCAGTGCCTAGTTTGTTGAGGGTTTTTAACATGAAGGGATGTTGAGTTCTATCTAATGTATTTGTTAGGATGATTATGTTTTTTGGTTCCTAGTTTTGTTTAAGAGGTGAATAACATTTATTTACTTAATTATGTTGAAACAACCTTGAATCACAGAGATAAAACCTACTTGATCCTGGTAGATTAGCTTTCTGATGTACTTCTGGATTCAGTTTGCTAGTATTTTGTTGAGGATCTCTGCATCTGTGTTCATGAATGATATTAGCATAAAGTTTTCTTTTCTTGTATCTCTGCCTGGTTTTGGTATCCGAATAATGCTGGTCTCATAGAATGACTTAGGAAGGAATCCTTTCTCCTCAGTTTTTTGGAATAGTTTTAGTAGAAATGGTAATAACTTTTTCTCATGCATCTGGTAGAATGTGACTGTGAATCCATCTGGTCCTGGGCTCCTTCTGGTTGGTAGGTTTTTTATCAGTGATTCAGTTTCAGAACTCATTATTGGTCTGTTCAGGGATTCAGTCTCTCCCTGGTTTATCTTGGGAGGTTGTATGTTTCCAGGAATTTATTCATTACTTCTAGGTTTTTTAGCTTGTGTGCATAAGGTGTTCATAATTGTGATGGTTAATAGTCAGTGTCAACTTGATTGGATTGAAGGATGCAAAGTATTGATCCTGGGTATGTCTGTGAGGGTGTTGCTAAAGGAGACTAACATTTGAGTCAGTGGGCTGGGAAAGGCAGACCCATCCTGAATCTGGGTGGGTACCATCTAATCACCTGCCAACATGGCCAGGATATAAAAGCAGGCAGGAAAATGTGAAAAGGCTAGACAGGCTTAGCCTCCCAGCCCACATCTATCTTCCATGCTGGATGCTTCCTGCCCTCAAACATCAGACTCCAAGTTCTTCAGCTTGCTTGCTTCTCAGCTTGCAGATAGCCTGTTGTGGGACCTTGTGATCTTGTGAGTTAATACTACTTAATAAACTTCCATATGCATATATATATATATATATATATACACACACACACATACATCAACACACACATACATACACACACACACACACACACACACACACACACATATCCTATTAGTTCTGTCCATCTAGAAAACCGTGAATAATACAATAAAGGTGTCTGAAGGTTTTTGTATTTTTGGGGAGTCAGTGGTAATGTCCCCTTTGCCATTTTGGTTTGTGTTTATTTGTTTCATCTCTCTTTTTTTTTCCTTATTAGACAAGGTAGTGGTCTATCTGTCTTATTCATTCTTTCAAAGAACCAGCTCCTTAATTCACTGATATTTGCACACTTTTTCACATCTCAGTTTCCTTCAGTTCAGCTCTGATTATGGTTATTTCTTGTCTTCTTCTAGATATAAACTTAGTTTGCTCTTGTTTCTCTAGTTTCTCTAAATGTGATGTTAGGTTGTTAGTTTGAGATCTCTGTAACTTTTTGACGTGGACATTTAGTACTTTCAACTTCCCTCTTAATATTGCTTTGGCTGTATCCCAGAGATTCTGGTATGTTGTATCTTTTTTTTCTAATTAGTTTCAAGGAATTTCTTGATTTCTGTCTTTATTTCATTGTTTACTCAGAAGTTATTCAGAAGCAGGTTGTTTAATTCCCATTTAATTGTATGGTTTTGAGTTATTTTCTTAGGATTGGTTTCTATTTTTATTGCACTGTGGTCTGATGATGTGGTTGATATAATTTCATTTTTTTATTAGCTGAGAGTTATCTTATGGCCACTTGTGTGGTCAATTTTAGAGTATGTGCCATGTGCAGATGAGAAGAATGTATATTCTGTTGATTTTATGTGGAGAGTTCTGTAGATGTCTATTATGTCCATTTCCTCAAGGGTTGAGTTAAGGTCCCAAATCTCTTTGTTATTTTTTTGCCTCAATGATCTGTCTAATACTGTCAGTGGGGTGTTAAAGTCTTCCATTCTTATTGTGTTGTTATCTAAATCTCTTCATAGGTCTCCAAGAACTTGCTTTATATATCTGAGTGCTCCTGTATTGGGTGTATATATTTTTAGGATAGGTCTTCTTGTTGAGTTTAGCCCTTTCACATTATGTAATGCTCTTTTTTGTGTTTTTTGATTTTTGTTAGCTTAAAGTCTGTTTTGTATGATATTAGAATAGGAACTCCTGCTTTTCCTTTTTTTTTTTCGGTTTTTGTTTTTTTGGTAAATTTTTCTCCATCCCTTTACTTTGAGCCTATGGGTGTCATTGCCTGTGAGATGAGTATCTTGAAGACGGTATGCAATTGGGTTTTACTTCTTTATGCAACTTGCCACTCTGTGCCTTTCAACTGGAGCATTTAGCCCATTTACATTCAGGGTTATTATTGACGTAAGTGGATGTGATCCTGTTATGTTGTTAGCTGGTTATTATGCAGACTTGTTTGTGTGATTGCTTTATAGTGTCACTGGTCTATGTACTTAAGTGTGTTTTTGTAGTGGCTAGTCACAGCCTTTCCTTTTCATATTTATCACTCCCTTAAGGAACTATTGTAAGGCACGTCTGGTGGTAATGAATTTCCTAAGCATTTTCTTGTCGAAAAAGATCTTATTTTTTCTTCACTTATAAAGCTTAGTTTGACCTGATATAAAATTCTTGGTTGAGAATTATTTCCTTTATGAATGCTGTGTATAGGCCCCCAATCTCCTCTGGCCTATATGGTTTCATCTGACAGGTCTTCTTTTAGCCTGATGGGGCTCCCTTTGTAAGAGACCTGCCCTTCTCTCTAGCTGCTTTTAACATTTTCCTTTCATTTCAACCTTGGAGAATCTGATGAGTAGGTGTCTTGGGAATGGTCTTCTTGTATAGTATTTCTCAGGAGTTCTCTGCTTTTCATGAATTTGAATGTTGACCTCTCTAGCAAGTCTGGGGAAATTTTCAAGGACAATATCCTGAAATATATTTCCCAAGATGCATTTTTTCCCTCCTTGTCTCTCAGGAATGCCAATGAGTCATAGATTGGGTCTCTTTACATAATCTTATATTTATTCAAGGTTTTGTTCATTCTTTTTAATTTTTTTTTATATTTTTCTCTTACTGAGGTACTTCAGAGATTCAGTCTTCAAACTCTGAGATTGATTTGTTATCTTGGTCAGTTCTACCATTAATACTTGTGATTTCATTGCAAAATTTCTGTAGAGTGTTTTTTAGCTCTATCAGATCAGTGTTCTTTCTTATTATGACTGTTTTGTCTATCGGCCTCTGTATTGTTTTATTGTAATTGTTATATTCCTTGGATTGGATGTTAATGATCTTTCTTGCCATCTGTATTCTGAATTCTATTTCTGTCATTACTGCCATCTCATTCTGTGTAAGAACCATTGCTGGGGAACTAGTGTGATTATTTGAAGGTAAGAAGAAACTCTGGTCTTTTTAGTTGCCAGAGTTCTTGTGCTAGTTTTCTTCTCATCTTTAAGGGCTGATGCTCCTTCAATCTTTGAGGTTCCGGACCTTTGAATTTTTTTCTTTTATCATGTCTGATGTTCTTGGTGGGTTGACTGTGGTATAAGGTGGGCTCAGTAGATCGGCTTTATTTCTGGAGGATTTTAGTGGGTCAAGGCTCAGCTCATTATACCTCAACTGCATGCTTTAACTCTCAGGGGCTGGTATCAGGCCCATGGCTTTATTCTCTGGCTTTTGGAGGTTAGAAACATGCCATGCGGGAAGGACCAAGTTGTCCCAGACCACTGGTCTGAACACTTCAATAGGTAGTGCCAGTCACAGGGCTTTGTAGGGCAGTGGCAGCAGGCCTTCTCACGTCCATATGCATGTTCAGCAATGTTAGCATGAGGGCTAGGCACTGACAGTTGCAGGACTGGGTATGCCCTCTGTGAGCATGTTCACATGGACAGCAACTGCCATTGGAGTTGGGGGCAGATCCACTGGTCTCACTGCATAGTTTCACATGGGTGGCAGTGTGGGCATGGGGTCAGGGAGCTGGTGGGCATGAGGCTGGTGGTCTCTGTGCCTGCAAATGCTCTTGCAGCATTGGTGGCATGTCAGGGTGTTGGGTGTTGGGGGATGTGATGTACTCATGCTGGGCAGCTGTGGCATGGCAGGGCATGTGCACTGACAAGAAAGAGGTATCAAGGTCCACACACATGCACACGCACTGGCAAAGTTATGTGGGGGTGGCCGAGGATGAGTGTGTGCAGGCAAAATGACTCAAGGAAGGCTGCAGTGAGGGGAAGGCATGGGTGGGCTGGTATGTGTCCATGTGGGTGTTCTACTGGAGTTCTCCACTTGTCAAACATGATCTACCAATGCAGAAGCTGTGTTGCAGGCCTCCAGGAGGCTCTACATTTGGGTGTTTGTGGCTGCACTACAGGCAGGCACTGCCAGGCTGGGGCCCCAGGAGAGGCCAGCAGACCATGGTATACTCAGGCCAGACCTGTCCCATCTCATGGGTAAGACCACTCTACATAGTTTAGGCCCCATAGTTTCCCTAAAACTAAAGTCTCCTAGGGGTGCAAAATGAGCCCTGGAGAATGAGCATCACCAGCCCCCACACCAAATCCTATGGGCTCTGCATCAGCTGGAGTTCTGCCCCTACCACTTCTTTAGCTACCTCTCCCTGACCACTCCATGGGGGTTGTAGGGTCTCCTCCTACTGGCAAGATTTCCAAAGCCTGTGGCAAGAGTGGGTTGCTCCTTACCTGCTAAACTTACCCCTTCCCCAGGAGCCAACAGGAGCTAAGAATGAGTCTAGATGCATGGTAGTCCCATATAGTGTCCTCAGCTTCCTCCCCTTTCAGCCCAGCATCTGTGTCTTCCTCCATCCACTCTCAATGACTTCCCTGGGAAGATCTGCACAGTGTCTTATTCAATATTACATCCTTGGCATATAACATAGTGTCTAGCACATAGATATTACTCAGTAAATAATAATTGACCCTGGGGTAAATGTAATATGGCATAATAGTAAAGAGGAATAAATCTACTGTCTGCTATGTTCAAGCATTGTTGTGTGACAATAAATAAAGGAGCCTATGAAAGGTTTTATGGGGCCTATGACAGTGAAGCATACCAAAAGCAAATGTAGGGTACACAGTTACCAAGATGTGGCTTTCTCCAATTTACTGCTTCTTTACCACTCAGTTTAAAGTTTAAAAACCCACATATAGAATTTATTCATTTATGTGTTTGTTTATGTATCAGGTATTTATACAAAGGTTATTTTTTTTTCTGAAACCTACTGGCTTATGTATATCTGAGGATTCTTTATTATACTTGAAAATGAATTAATCTTTACAAAAGGATTTATAATTGCATTGTTTGAAAACAGAATAGAAGAAATCGAGCAATATATTTTTCTCTCAATATTTGAGTATAATCCTATTCAAAAACCATAAATTATTTAACACAATACAAAGACAAAAATATGTTTAACTTCTCCCCTTCCTCCTGTACTTAAATCTACCAAGAACTTATTCAGAATAGATACTTGAATATCTCTTTTTACAAGATCACTTATGCCAATTAGAAGTTATTGCCTGGCAATCAAACTTTATATTTTACAGTGAAAACACATCATTATATATTAAAAAAGATAGAGTTTTCTCTGTTTTGTCACTAACTCAGCAGAAATTTGTGGTTTTAAGAAGTCATGGGCTTTTTAAGAAAAGGTTAGGTCTTATTTATTAGTTTTCTTTTGTCTGAGGCATATATTATTTTAACGAAATTTCTTCTTTTGTGAGAAAGTAACACATAAACAGAGGTATTTTTGTCTACATTGAAAAGGAAAGAGAGCCATAAAAATATTCTATTAATGAATAAAACCACTTAGTGGTTAAAAGTAGTAAAATTTATTCAAATCAGCAAAGAATGAGAGCTCTTAAAGATCCAAGGCAAAAATACTCTCTAGCTTCATGCTTGGAGGGGATTTGGGGAAAGAAGGTAAATGTATGCCCTTTATAGATGAACTAAAGTCATTTGGCAGAAATTGTAAAGTTTCTTTCTTCTCCTCCTTTTTTCAACATAGTCCTATTTACTATCAGACAATCAGGCTGGGTATTAAAGAGGGGAAGTAATTGGAAGGGAAAATAATTCATACATTATTCCTGCCTTCGGTATAAATATCCTGTGCACCTGCAGCTCTGGAGCAGTTATGAAAATACAAGTACTTAGAAATTCAAAACAAATTTGTAACATTTATGTGTTACCATGCAAATTATGTACTTCATACATGCATACAAAGTCAAGCAAAATGATTTATTTAGGAAAATATTTTAATTTCTATACATTTTTGATATTTTACATTTGTGAATGAATGACAAAATTACATTTGGTCAATTCCAAGTGTATTTCTGAATACCATTCAACTCAGCTTTTTGTGTGCCTTGAATGTGGAAAAATGAATTAAATGGTGGTAGGCATAAAAATTGTGCGCTAATGAGTATTCACATAGAGCTGCATTCAGTCATTTGCACTTTGGTACATGAAAAACAAGTGACCATTCATGCTGCTAAGTAGGCAAATGTAGCCACCAAGGTGAGAAAAGACAGCGATTCAGTAGAAAGTGCAAAAAGTAGAGGTTTCCCTAATCTTAGAATGCTTTCCATTTTCTTAACTGGTTAACAGAGGATCTGACTACACAAGTGTTAAAAAATCAGCACCTTTTCTTTACAGTACCCCATAATCACAGGCACTCAGCAGAATTGCATTTATTGAGTCAGGAGCTTTTGGCACTAAACTGATGAGATTCTGTTGCTGGAACTGAATAGGGCTTGGTTCTGTTTTTGGATACGAATATGCCTTTCCATGTAGAAATTCAAAAAACTTTCAACAAGCACTCAACAAAAAGGGGAAAGATACATCAATTTTTCTTAAATCCTTTTAAGGTAGTTCCATTTTCTCTGATGCATGTGCTGGGATTCTTTTATATAGGTGATCTAAATGTATACTCCTAATTTATTTATTTAAGGAAAACTTGATTGAGTACCTAGTTTGTGCCATAGACCAGTCAAGGAAGAAAGAGTTTCTATTAGAAATGCTATTTGAATTAAAAACCTAATAATGAATTAGAATAAGCCAGAAACATAAAGTTAAGAAAATTCAGACAGAAAAAAAAAAGTTTAAGAGTGACAATAGTATATATTCATTGCACTGATATTGTATACAAGAACTAGAGATTGAAAAGTGGTGACAGACAAATCTGTAGACAAATAGAAGAGAGAGAAGAGAAATGATAAAAGCAAAGTTTTAATTTTTACTTGTTCTTTTGAGAATTTAGAAAATGTCAGCAGGAAAGCAATCTTTTGTAAAAACAAAGAAAAGTCAGTCATTCTTAATGCTGTTATGGAGATATGGAGTTTTTCATTAAGTGAGTCCACAATCAGTAAGAAATGGGGTAATAGCTATGTACAGACAATTTTTTATGAAAAGAAAAGTTCTGCTTTGGGTCACACAAATTGATTTTTATATTAAAATGAAAATGTATGTCATTCACAAGACTTATCATAATTGTAATTCTCTGGCTATTGGTCAGTTATTATGCTTTATCTTCCTTCTGTTCACAAAAACATTCTAAACACTACTGTACATTTTTTTCTACTATAATGGAAATATAATGGTTCTATATTTAAATTTAACATTATTTCTATATCATACTAGATACTTGAATATTTATTGAAAGAGTAAAAATCCCAAAACAGAGCTGGCAGGATTTTTTAAATGTCTATATCCATACTCAGTCTATAATCAACTTTTAATAGTAATTAAATACTTATTGGCTTTTTAACTGCATTAAATATTTATCTTGAAGTTTTTTTCCTTCCTGTTGGTATAAGTTACTGGAGAAGTCAGGATATAGTTCACTGTATTCTCAAAATAAATTTTCACAAATCAAAACAATAATTTAAAATACATGTACAGGATTCTCACTTCTGCTTAGGATGTAGAAAGCTAAAAAGGAGAAAAAGAAGAAAAAACAAAAATTTTTAGATAATCTGGAAGAACACAACATTTAAAAACATTTAACAGAGAGATAAGGTTTTCGAATAAGAAACTATTCTAAGATCTAGGGAAAGGCAGGCACAACCCAGGAGAAATAGAATGAAAGCTCTTGATTGCATAGATGGGGGCAGATGCTGAATAATGGGCATTATACAATACAGCTAAAAAATGTTATTTTTTTATTAAGTTGTTAAAGGTAGAACATGGGTTAGCATTTAGATGTATTAGAGGAAGCTAAAAATATTTCACCCCAAAATATACTTTATTGACATTTTGAGATGGTTATTCGGAGGGACTACAGACAGAAATATCTCTGCAAACGTTCTTTGGAGGAGATTTTCATCGGCAGAGAAAAATATGCATTAGCAAAATACACAGCCAGGCTTTCTCTGAGGTTTCCTCCTTTGTCAGGATCTAAAAAAGGTTAACTCACAGGAGAGAGAAACAGAGTCTGAAATCTTTGAATGTGTGACACAGAGACTGTTACCACAGGCTACTGTCTATGCTTTCTGCTACTTGTGAGGTGTCGTCAGCTTAACAAGACTGTCTTTGCTAACCGTGCTTTTCTTCTATCTCTCTCATAAACTATCTTGCCATGCTCCAAGCCTCTATTCTTTCTGGAACCTCAGGATGCTATAAAAACTTAAACCGTCTGCCCACTGCTTTGGACCTAATACTTTGTATATGACTCCCATTCCCTTTTGAACATTAATAAATATGTAAGCCATTTAAGTTTTTTTTCCATTATAACTGTGATTTATAGATTCAAGTTATTGTACCTTTGGGGGATAAGAGAATTATATTCACCTGTACAATATAATCTCGGAGAGTTGTAGATAAAATAATAATTTGCAGTCACTTACAAACTGTTCATTTTGGTCTTCAAGTGTTTGATTGAAGGAGTTGGGACAAATTGAAAAGTTCTAAGAAAGCTTCCTTCTTGTTGCAGAGCTGCTTGAATGCAAGAGTAATTGTAGTGTAAAACAAAAATAAAATTCTAAGGTCCCCCAACCATCTGAATGTAATTCCTCCTCAGCCAGGACATTCTAAAATTTAACCTGAAAGACTGGTTTAGGCCATGATGGGAAGTGAGGGTTGGACAGGCCACATTATACTCCTCCAGCATTAACATCAACACAGACTTTAAGACTGATAAGAAACGTTTATAATCAATTCTCTCTGAAGTCTGGTACCTGGAGGCTTCATCTGAATGATAAAACTTGAGTCTCCATGACCTTTTATTATAAACCAGACATTCCTTTCTATCGATAACTGTTTCAACAAATTGCCAATCAGAAAAATTTTAAAGCTCCGTATAAACTGAAAGTCCCTGCTTCAAGTTGTCCCGCCTTTCTGGACCAGACCAATGTATATCTTAAATGTATTTGATGAATGTCTTGTGTCTCCCTAAAATGTATAAAACCAAGCTGTGCCCCGACCACCTTGGGCACATGTTCTCAGCTTCTCTTGAGGGCTGTGTCATGGGCCATGGTCCCTCATATTGGACTCAGAATAAATCTCTTCAAATATTTTACAGAGCTTTACTCTTTTCATCAATAATAATCTGGCACCCAAACATGTGGGGTCTCAGAGAAGACTCAGGACCCAGAAAGAGTTGCCTAAACTCAGAGCTAAGATATCATCAAGGTGCCATTGAAAGCCTCTCTGGCTTTGAGCTTCTCCTTTAGTGGAACTGGTAAGTCCTCCTGAGCCTTGGACCTCCCTTTGGTTGATGGTCCTAGATTTATTTTGAGCTGTTTTTTTTTTTCTCCTAAGAAATTGTTGTTTAGCAACCTAAGTCTAGTTTAGAGATACATTTTAAAGGGTCTTCTTCATTGCTTTTTTCTCCCAGAATTAATCTCCATTTGGCTTGTCTGCATTTGTGTGAGAAATTGAACTGTTGTTTTCTTAGATAAATTAGAGAATGTTTTCACAGCTCAGAAGAGAAAGGGCATTTTACTTCTCCCAACCAAAAGGCAACTCCCCATTATGTGCAGTGGCCCTACAGAGAACCCCCAAAAAATTAGTTTAAAAAGGCTTGTCCAACAAATGCATGTAAGAGCTGGTCACTCCACACTTTCAGCCCTTCTGGAGGTGCTAGATCTTTAGAAACAGAAACTGACACACCTAAGAGGGCAAAGATGACCCAGAGGTGACACGCTGTGGCATCCTGCTCACAACCAGCACACTTTGACTAACTACACTAAAGCCCTAGACCACAGCTCAGTTTTTCCTTTTGAGGAAAAAAAAATTGGGAAACAAATAATCTAAGAATGAGGAAAAAACAAGGAGAATGACCCCCTATTGGGCACTCCATTGGTTTGATGGTGCCTCTACTTGCAAATTTTTGTGTAAAATTGGCATATTATTGTCTTTTTGCACACATTTACATCAAGAATAAAGAGTCCTAAGGTTGACCTGCAAATTATTGAGTTCCCAAGTGCTCTTTTCCTCTATTTTCTTTTCTGCCTGCTTTACATCTGCTGTTACTTTTCTACTGAGATAAAAGATACTGTTTGAATCCAAGTGTTTTTTGTTTTTGTTTTCTTTGCAAGCCAAAGAATTTGTATTATGTCATATCCAAAGTTCTGAAGTAAAAGTTGTGTTTGGGTGTGTGTGTGTGTGTGTGTGTATTTAAATGGCCTTCTTTGTTTCTGTTTGTTGTTGTTGTTTTCTCTATTATAACCTTATTCTCCTGGACAAAGTTTTTCTTAAATAGTTTCTAACATCCTGGGATTCCTTATAGAAAACAGAGAAGGTGTCAGACTCCTTTTTGGGGAGAAACTGTTACCGGTGGCAAATATCCGAGTCTCACAGGACAAAATATGTTACTGGTAAAAGGTATCCAAGTTACTGGCAGCAAATCTGTACAGGTCTGCAGCAACCTCAATTCTTGTCTCCTCAGAAGAAAGAATTTGGCTGAAGGGCATAAAGCAAAAAAAGAGACTGAGGCAAGTTTCAGAGCAGAAGTGGAAGCTTATTTAAAAAGACTTTAGAACAGAAAAAAAAGAAAAAGACTGTTGAAAGAGACCCAAGCAGGTGATTTGAAGAACAAGTGCAGTGTTTAACCTTGATCCTAGGACTTTATAGGCTGCCCCACCTCTGGCATCTTGCACCCGTTTCCCATGATCCTTCCCTCAGCATGGGCTGCCCACACGCACAGTGTCTTCCTTATCCTTGGGAAGAGAACATGTGCAGTAGGTTTAGGAAGTTGTACACATGCCCATATGAGGCTTTCTTCCCTTTTCTGGTGGAGTGCCCCTGGAAAGTAATACTCCACCATTTTGTCTCTTAATGCCCATGTCTAGGAAGTTGCTTCTCCCTGGTACCTGCATTCAATTAACACTGTAATGCAACAAGTGTGGACCATCAAAAAATGGTCTGTCCCTGGTGCCAGCAGCCAATTTATCACTTTTAGAGAGGCTACGTGATAATTGATAATTACCAAACCATCACCTAACATTCCTAATGGGTGGGGGAGAGCCCTCTCCTGTCTCACTCATGTGTGTCTGAATACCTGTAACAAAACCTCTGTTTTTTCCTTATGGAACTCCAAGAGTGTAAACAGGCAAATTTCACTTCAGATCTTAAGCTGCTTGCTTGTATTGTGTTACCTGATTTTTTTCCAACTAAAATAGTTATTACAACAGAGGCTACTCTTGTATGTTTAAAATAAGAAAGAGTGTCATTTAGACACTTACAGAAATGTCTTTGTAAAAAAGAAAAAAAAGGTGCACTGTAAAAACATGGTCTAACCTCATAATAATTCTCTCATGGAGACCCAGGATACAGTGTAGATTCTGCTCAGAGCTCAAAGATTGAGTTAAAAGATGCAGAGTAAAATTAGAACTACCTATTAAATAAAATTGGTTTTCTTACACAATTCTATGATAGAATTATATAATTTTATGTTTAACTTGGCAATTAAATTTATTTTAATTTTCCTCGAGCACACTGGATTTTTTGTCTCTGTACTTTGAGATGTAAATTTTGCTATCTGATTTTTTCATCACAGAATCGTTACCCTTAATATGTAAATTTAGGGCCATTTAGCTGACAACTGCCTAGGATAATGAAACAGGTTATCAAGAATTTGGAAATCTAAAACAGGAAACGTAGCTCTTATTAATTTATAAGATTTACTTCTACGTATATGTAGACATATCTACATATATCTATTAGACCTATGCCTAATATGTCTGTGTTATGTGTCATGTTTATGTGTGTATGTGTTATGTACATAATGTTTCATTACTGAAAATATATTTAAAAAGCTCTAATTAATTGGCCTAATGAAAAGTAAAAGCACTTAAATCAAATACTTTATCAGAAAAAAAAAAGGCAAAGTCAAATGCTTTTCTAAGTTCAGGTGATATAAGTAAAATCTTTAATAAATGAACTGGGTATAAATTATTGGTAAAATATTCAAAAATTTTAAGAATTGTTAGTATTTTTGTTTGCATTTATTGATCAAGCTGTTTCATACTTATTCCTGCAGAATACTGTAAGGTTTCAAAACTGGACGTAAGGTTTATAAAACTATAAACCAAGCCTGAAACAGAATAATCTTTGTGTAGTTTTTGATAAATGAGACATTTATATTGTTAGTTTGATGAAAACAGCTAAATCCATGTATTTAATTTTATGTTTCTTATTTTGGTAAACACCTGAAATTCATAGGTTATAGAAATTGTTAACAGAAAAATAACTGTGAATGATGAATATCACAGTTTTTATGAATAATCTAGGTAAACTGTTAAGTAAATTAATCAGGTAAATGTAATAAATGCTTGCAAACAAACTTTTCATATAATTTATAATCTAAGGTTATAGTAAATAATAGATGGGTAATTTACAATTTAAAAATTACAGAAAAACATTTTTAAAAATATGTTCTTATTAAAAGGTAAATATTTTTGGCTAATTCAAAGCTTTTTTAAAGGTTATGTACAAAACAAGGTAAAAGGAACCAGAAAATAAGAAATGTACAGAGAGTTATAAAGAGATGTTTTCAGTAAGGAAGGCAATAAGAAAAGTAATTTTATATGAGAAAGAATCTTTTATGGTGAATTTTTGTCATAAAATTAAATGGCTGATTTGTTCAAGAAAAATATTTAGGACAAATCAGAAAGTCCAAGCACATTGTGAATGGTCTAAGTTGTAATAAGGTTAGTAAAAAAAGGAATTTGTAAAAATGTTATGTGATTAATAGGCTTTAATTAAAGGAAACTATAATAGTTTTTCTAAAATTAAACTTTGATATTAAAAAATACACTAATACAAAACTAAAGACATGGTTAAAACAAGTTTTTATTAAAAATATAGACTTATTAATGGAATAAGTTTTTAATTTTTAAATTCTATAGTCTGTCTCTTTGAAATTCTTCAGATCGATATCTCAGGAATTCATCTCTTTTTCTTTTGAAAAGTCCTTGTGTTCTAGGGCTTTCTTCTTAGTTCAGCTAAAAACATGTTCCTTGTCATACAACCATGAAAGATTAGGCTCACATACACTTTGAAGGGTAAGAAAGGCAGGGTCTATTGGGTGAAAAGCAAAATAAAAAAAAGAAACAGTGACTTCCAGTAAAGTGAGAGTTCTGCTAATAGGCTTCCTGCCTCACAGATTGAATTTCCATTTACCACCCCAAATTAGGAAAGGCCAGGCTACTCCACACTGCAAACTGTGTGTACTTCCATGACTCAATCATGTTCTCCTATTGCACAGGCCAGTTAGAGGTTCTCCCATGTCCCCTTTATACTTGGCTGTCTCATTTTCTCCTCTAAAGAAGTACATCTAATTGCCATTAAGATGAGGATAAGGATAAGGATAAGGATAAGGATAAGGATAAGGATAAGTATGAAGACCAATCTTCACTGCTTCCTGATGACAGGGTGCACTGGTTTGGGGAGAATGGCAGTCAGATCTTCCTCAGAGGCCTATCTAAGTGTTTGCAGCAGAAGGGGCCATCTTCCGAGGCTCTGATTGCATGACCGTTTGGAGTTTGATGGCCTGAAGGTGAGAAGAGACAAACGGTTATTAGAAAAAATGTATCAAAATGAGAAAGGGGTGGGGTGGATAGGACAGGTCAAAAATCCTGAGGCCTTATACCAGTTTGCACAGGGAGAGGGAGGCCAAAAGCCCGACTGGCAAAAAAAAAAAAAAAAAAAACTTTACCCTTTTGCCGGCATACTGGGCTTCTGGGTTCCCTTTCCCTGAGCCCAATCCTAAGCCAACTAGTTTAAGGTTTGGGAAATTAACTTTTCCTAGTTTGGAGGATGCATTTGAGTGGAGTGTCCTGTAGTATGGAGACATAATTGCCTATCAATGAAGAGAGGACAGAGAAAGAAAAAATAAAAAAAGAAGCTGTTTTTTGAAGGAGTCCCAGGGGTTCAAGATGCATTTGAAAGGTGTACAGACTGAAGATGAATGGCTACTCATCTAGAAAAAGAGGAGCAGGCATCCAAGGTTCCCTTCTCTTCCTAGCAAATACCTGGAATATGTGAAGGAGAGAAGGAAGAGCATCCCATTTCCCTCTTCCATCCTTGCATACCTGAGTCCCAGTGATCTTGGCACAGATTGCCCATGGGTGCCAAAGCAGCTTGTACCCATGAAGCAAGAAGGGCCTAGAGAATAGGAATTATTTGCTTTGACCTATGCCTCTATTCCCCATACTCTCAGTAGCCTTGGAGTTCCCTAGACCTAATTTATGCCATGGATACTAGAGTGGCCTTTATCCATAAAACAGGAAGCCTGGCTTAATTGGCAGAAATCCATCATGCTTACCTGTGCTGTGCCTTTTAACCTGTTATCATCTGCCTCTCGATCACTCAGATCCAGTTTTCTTTCCTAGGGCTTTGACCTGAAACTTGGAATTAAGTTTGGGACAAAAATGTGTCTCAGGGTGGGGGTGGGGAGATGCATTTTTCTCCTTATCATAAGCCAAATGGTAAGGTGAAGCTGTAGAATTGAGTCCTCTTCCAACAAAAGAGAGAAATTGATGTCTTGTAACATGCCCAGATAACTGCTGGCTATAGTTATGCTTGCTAGGATTTTGGTGCATGGTGCTTGGCTTTGGTTAGCTCCTTTGGTCTTACTTTCCCACAGAGGAAATCTCCAGGTGTTGGGTACCACCTGGCAGGATTTGCAGAATAACTGCTCAGAACTAGAATATTGATCCAGATTTCTACAATATCCATCCCTGTTGTTCTTTCTGAGGGGCAGTGGAGATTGCTGGTTGGTTCACAGGAACAAGCAAGGTTAGTCTAAAATGTAGGCAAAAACTTTAAAACAACTAATGAGTTTATAATTTAATGGCAAATGCATGATAACTTTTGAAACATAATTTGTCTCTACAGTCCTCATTTTTGTTAAAAAACAAATTATCATAAGACTGAATGGTTTGCAAAATAGACTTTAGTCTTATACTTGGCCTGATTATTTGCATAAACTGCAGCAAGAATAATTATTTCTACATAGGCCTTTTGGATTGACTTTGATGGAACTCTGTTACACAAGGAGTCTCAGAAAAGACTTTTTAAAGCCCAGCCTAGCCATGGGTTTCTATCCTCAAATACCTGTGAGTTGGGTGATCCTCTCTTCTTAAGGTCCCAAGATAAACTTGGAGTTCCTGAGCCTGTTAGAAAGTGACATTCTTTACTGACCACAGAGCAGGAACCCTGTACAAGGACTGCATAGACAAAGTTATAAGGCTAGTTTTTCCCATGGGCATTTTATTCTCTCTGCAAGTTGAGCTTGACTCTCCTTAAAGGGAAACATACCCTTCTACACAAAGCCTTGGTAAAACAACCAGTTTCTCCAATTGCATTCTGTTGAAAAAGAAAATGGATTCTTATTGCACTGATGCAAACAACTATATTGCCGTAAGTTAAGAATACTCACAGATAGTTTCCAAATTCTAGAGGAACCAGGAAGAGAGAAATAATATCTCCAGATTTTGTTCACAGGAATGTACCTTACTCAATTATTAAAGGCTATAGATAGTTCAAAATAAGTTTCCTTGACTCTGAAAAACAAAACAAGGATCTGCAATATTCTAAGCAAAAGTTAAAAAGATTGCTTCAACTTTCTGAGTTCAGTCCATTTAGTTAACTCTTGCTTAGCTTGATATTCATGAACATTTTAGCTCTTCCCAAGTCCTGTACATTTTTCTTTATTCCAATGTCACAATCTCCAAAGTTATCTGAAACCAGTATTTGAGAGCACCTGTCAAAGTTTTATAGCTTATTATAAACCATCATTTGAAAGGATTAAAACAAGACAACAATTGTCTGTTAATAACAAAATGTCCGTGATAGTTACAGTTAGAAACACAATTCACAAAAAAGTTGGTTATCTCCATGGTTTACAATAACTTAATATAACAACCTCAATTATAATTGATAGCATATGCTTAGACATTAGAATTTTAGAAATCCCGTACAATTTTTGGACATATATTAGCATTATTCACCAAAATATTACCTAAAGAAGATTGAACATCATTTTGGCAATCCTATGTACTTAAATATGTCAAATAATCCTGTTTACCTCTCTTCTGGATGTTCCAGGGGCCCACGGAATCATCCAAAAAGCCAGGCATCAGGAAAGACCATTTAGAAACTGAAGTTTGATTTTGGAAAGACTGTTACATACATTAAAGGTTTAAAGCACTTGATATTATGATATAGAACTCCAGATTACCACAAGTAATTTATTTTGCCAAAATGATGACTCAGAAATTTGAAAAGCAAAAAATCTTTTACAACGCTTTACAAATTTTGCTAAAAAGCAGATTACTGCCTTAAGAGTACTGTGTGCTTTTATTTCAATGCTCAATTTACAGAAAAATACACATAATACCCTTTTGAATTTAGTCAATATGTTCAGACAAGGAATTTTGCAAGATTAATTTTTACAATATTTTTACCACTTGTTTAAAATTTTAGCTTTATCTTATCTAATTCAAAACCATCCTTTAACCCTAGGCAAGAATTTATATTTTCATGCTTACTTATAATCTTTCATTAAAAACACATTTTACTGTTCTTACACACCTTGCATGTAAATCTATTTTCTGTTGTTTCAATTAGATATTATAACAATAATTCCTAGCAATTTTAACTTTAGTGTAAAACCTGGTAAGTTGTGTCATTTATGTGCTAGGTGCAGCCAAGGTTTGACTCCTTCCAGCATAATTAAAAGTGTGGTTAGTTCCGTATGTCCCCAGGCCATACAAAGTTGAACAGCTCTCTGAAACCAAAAAGCAGTTTATAACCTCAAAACACTTAGCAAACCTTTTATCTGACCTCTATAATTTAGTCTACTTATTAACATTTTGATGACATCTTCATTTTACCAATAATTTTTAAAACTGTTTTTATTTCTCAAAGATTAGAGTCACATGAAATGAAATGTACTATGACTTTTATCTTCCCTTTAAAAAAACATTTGACCCAAGTGCTTATCTTTCTTTAGGCCAATTAATTAGAGCTTTTTAAGTAGACATCACACACAACACATATATAGCTACAAAGACAGACAGAAGAAGATTCAGTAGTTGTAAGATTTTTCATTTGTCAGTTTTTGAGTTTCTCATACTACAAAGTAATTTCTGGTACCCCAAAAGTAAAAAATGTCAGATAACACAATGTAAAACAGAACAGAACCTTAATTTTTAGAGGTATTTATCCATTTCTAATTCCTGGTGTTTCATGAGGAAAACAGTTTTTCCAAAATGGGTTCTCTGGTGCCTCCTGTTTTTCCCATGGAGTCCCAGCCTGTTAGAGTTTGAATATCTGCTTTTAATTAAGCTGACTTTTAACCATAGCACTCTTTAATAAGGTTCTTTTAAAATTTCCTATTACCTCACTTTAGCCATGCCAAAAAGCCAATATTTCTGGCTTTCAGACTTTACTAAAGGCTTGGAGAAAGGAAAATCCAAGGTGGTACATGGAAGGAAGGGGAATCGACAAATAGCAAAAGGTCACGCAGGTATCAAACCAGAAAGAACTCATTCCCTAAGGCAGGATGAATCTGGGCCACATGGCTAAACAAAGCCTTGCCAAGAGGTTGCAGGCCATGCCCCAAGGATGTAAAACAAGAGGGAGGTCTGCAGCAAAGTTTACTATGGACCATACAGAAAGATGCACAAAGCACACCAGGTTGGCTACAGCTTAAGACTAACCTCACAAATTCTTTCTCTCAATTAAAACTCTACAGGAAATATAAACAGTGATATTCATTTCCCACTCCAGCAAAATGTCGTCCAAAAGGAAAAAAATCCTCTCTTAAAAGTTAACTCCTGAACTGCTGGAGAAAAGGAAAGGAAAAAACAGTTTAAAAATGCCTAGGGAAGAACCTCTTATTCTTATGCAACAGGGTTCCTTTCCCCTGGCTTGGACTGAGTGAGAGTCTGGGCAGGCAGCCACATGAAGCTCTGGGGCCATGTGTCCCAGCCCCCACAGGGAGGGGAGGTGTATTAGTCTTTTCTCACACTACTGATAAAGACATACCTGAGACTGGGCAATTTACAAAAGAAAGAGGTTTAATGCACTCACAATTCCACATGGCTGGGGAGACCTCAAAATCATGATGGAAGGTGAAAGGCACATCTCACATGGTGGCAGACAAGAGAAGAGGACTTGTGCAGGGAAACTCCCATTTTTAAGACCATCATATCTCATGAGACGTATTCACTATCATGAGAAGAGCACAGGAAAGACCTATCCCCATGATTCAATTACCTTCCACCAGGTTCCTCTCACAACATGTGGGGAATTCAAGATGATATTTGGGTGGGGACACAGCCAAACCATATCAGGAGGGGAGCGGTGAGCTCCCACTCACCTGCCCATCCTGAAAAAGGAAGGAAAAAGCCATAGAAAGGCAGGCACAGTTTCCTCTACTCTCAGAAGTCCAAGGGAATAGAGGCTTAGAAACAAAAGAGAAAAAGGTTTTTTGGTTTGCACCTCACTCAGCCTTTCTCGAGACCCACATTGCATTTCAAAATATTGAGAACTTTCTCTTAGTTCAGCTAAACTTGGGTCCTTTTCACAAGACCATGAAAGCTTAGGATCACAGGCACTTTGAAGGGTGAGAAGGCCAGGGTTTATTGGGTGAAAAGGAAAAAAATGGGAAACAGTGACTCTCAGCAAAATGAGAGTCCTGTTAGTTAGTAGACTTCCCACCTCACAGATTGAATCCCAGGTTACCATCCCAGATCAGGAAAGGCCAACCTCCTCCCTCCTGTAAATGGAGCAAACTTCTGTGGGTCCACCCCATTTTCCCAAAGCACAGGCCAGTCGGAGGTGATCCCTTTATACTTTGCTGTCTCCCTTGTATGGTAACTCTCTCCTTTACCTTTGTTGGCTCCTTTAACTTTTAAAACTAATTATCTTAAGTAAGGGAGTTAATTTCTTTCTGAAAACAGGCAAATGAAAAATTTTTGGATTTGCTTTTTTACTCTGCATGCCTGTAATATCTAAATGTTTATAAGTGTCATGTGGAAGTGATGTTTCATTACCAAACTGTATGAATGAGGTAATCAACTGACTTGAAAAAAAAGTAAGTGCTTATCACAGTGGTACAAGTGTGATAACTTGTACCAGATGACTTTTAATTCACATGACTTTGGTAATCTTTGGTAAGGTTAATTCAGTAAATTTAATCTTAAAGATCTCTCCAATAATTTAAAATCTTAAAGTAATGTTATGTTAAGTAAACTTTTTTTTTCCACTGGGAATTTGGAGTACTAAGAGTTAAAATAGTAGGAGTGTAAAAGGTGTTTTTGGTGAAGTTTATGAAACACAAGGATATACATTTAAAAAACAATTTTTTTCTACTTAAGAAACTATTTAAGAAAGGCTTTAAAATGAATAAAAAGTTATACAGGTACAACGAAATGGATAAAAAGAATAATTAAGCCAGGGCAACAAAAGTTACTTCTGAGGCTTGTGGTTACCAAGAAGATACTCAATGTTAGGGGAGGGCAAAACCACATAACTACTAAAAACCAGAGAGTATAATGTAAATCAATTGTTCCATTTGTAGATTTGTATTGTTAGCTTGTTTAGAAATTACTACTACAATGGATTTTAAAAATAACAGGTTGGTGCAAAAGCAACTTCAGTATTTTGCCATTACTTTTAATACTTTAGAGACAAAATCCTTAATTTTAAATGCAACAGAATAAAAGAGCTTGTTTGGGTTGATGCAGGACTCACAGCTCACTATTGAACAATTACTGAATATATGTGATTCAAATATACAGGAGTTTATTCCTGAGAGAACAACTAGCCTAATGGACCAGAGAAACAACACTGTGAGGTCTGTTTGCCCTGAAAAGGGGACTGCCTGGCTCTTCCTATAAAATACTAAGTGGAGCACCCCAGATGAAGCAGTTGATATGTGTCATGTGTAAGCCACATGGGATTGGTTTTATAATGACCAGAATATTCTCTCACCGAATATGCCTATTACCCATATCATGAGAAATCTGGGGGCTATCGGGGCCCCTTTTACATGGGTGCCCCTCCTGCAGAATCATGTAATTGTTTGAGAAGCCTTATCAAATTTGCTGTCCCTCATGTGTCTCACAGATGCTTAAAACATTGGAAAAGGAAAATGGGAGTCAAATAACTTGCCCCAGAAGGGTGATTGATATGTTTGGATTGTTACTATTTGCCCCAGACTGGAAAATTAAAAAAAAAAAATCACAAGGCAAAGGCTGTCATCAGGAAGCTGACATTGCATGGGGTAATGCTGGGGCAAATTAAAATCAAAATTGACTAAAGAACCTAAGTCCCTTGGTTCAACTCCCTGCTCCTTTTTCACCAGAAAATGTAAAATTGTCTGGGGGTAGAAAAGAAAAGGGCCTGGAACCAAAAAAAAAAAAAAAAAAAAAAAAGCAATTTAAAAGAATTATGAAATTTGAGATGTTTAAACAGACTTTATGTAAGATAGATGTGTCTTCTTTACCTAAATGTCTTTGAAAATGGGTATTGTTTCTGACTAGGGGATATTTTCCCTCTCTAGTACTATAAAACTGAAGGCATGTAAATCTGGCCTTTGAAAAATCTTAATTGGACACATTAACTGGGAACTATTAATAGGAAGACTCCCTGAGCCCACAGAATATAGGGTAGAAACTGGAGTGCTAGTCAGGACAAATCCTCTGCTTCATAGCCCTTTGTGGAGCATTTATCGGGGCTAATGGCAAAAGACTGTGAATACTTCCCAATGATAACTACTGGACTAGCAAATTTTTACTTGAGGTTCATTTACTGTCTTGCTATGGAATATGAACTGAAGCTACCCCTATGCTAATGGAAATAATAATGCCCAAAAGAGTTCCATGATAATGGTTTACATAGGATCTTGCTACCTGGAGATAAAAAGAGGAGATACTAAATAGTAGGGAGCCTCCTTTTTCCCTTAACATTGACTCTAACAGTGTAAGGAGCACTTGGTAAGTAGCTCTCATCTAACAGGAGCTGCTTAGCATGTGAGTGGCAGTTCCAGGGTTAAAAAATGTCTTATGTGGAAGACTGCTGCTCTGATTAAAGGTCAAGAGAATATTTTTCTTTTCAGTTATTTACGGTGAAGTATGTTTTTTGTGAGTAAATTGGCCTTTCTTTCTGAGTTCTGAAATTCAGATTGTGATTTTGTGATCATATAGTTATTTGCATAAGTTTAGTAACAGTCTTTTAAAACAGAACAATTGGAGACACTGGTTATTTCCCAATACTTTGACTCAAATAACATATATTTAGGTAAAGTTCCAGCAAAGCTGACTTAAAAGAAACCTACATAGCCAGTTGATTCATGCTGCACGTTATGTGAATACCCCTACAGAGTACTAGGTTACAATTTTTCTTCATATTTTTCATTGGTACTGTAATGAAATATATTCCTTTTTCTGTTCTAACAAACAAATACTCTCAATTGTCAAAATAATAATGCTCTTTATGTCTCCTACTATTACTTCCAAGGAAACCAAAATCATGGTATTCTGAAAAGCCAAAATGAGAATCTCCCTCATTTGACATCCCACTGGGACCAATCTGCAAATTTCCTGCTGCTAAAACTATAAACTCCCTCCCTCTTGGCCCAGGAACTGTTGCAGAAGAGGTGGGTATGTGATATTGTAAAGGCCGGTTTTGAGGGACAGAATTATGTCAAGCTCAGCCACTTCAAATGAAGGATGGATACAATGATGCCTAAACAATTGGTAAAACAAAGGACTTTGCCTTCTACTCTATTATGTGTCGTCATTGCATCCACCCCAATCATAAAGAATTTTCTGCTTTTTATAGAATTAAAATATTTCCTGACAGAATAAAGATACCTTGTGAAAAGGCCTCTAAGTTATGAGTTTTAAATACCATATATAGTTTTTTGGAATAATGTTTATGTTTTGTATAACTAGTTGCTATAAGCCTGTAATTAAAAGTAAGCTTACAGTATCTCAACACACAGAAGTTAAAGATAAGTCAATTTTGTAACCATGCTTTTTACTTTCTGTTTGTTAGTTTTCTACTTAAAATAGTAATAATAATTTCAAGGGGTAATGAATGTTTATCTACTTCTATTCCTATCTGGCCTAGAACAATTAATTAGCTGTAAGTCTTGTTGACTAAGTCCCTTGGCCATAGGGAGTCCTACCAAGGAATAGGATGGACCCATGGGAAGCAGCCATGCCACCCCAGCAATGCTATGAGACAAAATAAAGATTTGGTGGCCACTGATGTTGCCTCTGGCAAATCTTGGCCAGAAGGAGGGATGTAAACAAAAATAAAATTATAAGGTCCCCCAACATTCTGAATGGACTTCCTCATTGGCCAGGGAACTCTAAAATTTAACCTGAAAGACTGGTTCAGGCTATGATGGGAAGTGGCAGTTGGACATGACTCATCATACGCCTTCCAGCATTAACATCAACACAGACTTTAAGTCTGATAAGTAACATTTATAATCTACTTTCTCTGAAATTTGAAGCCTTCATCTGCAGGATAAAACTTGGTCTTCACAACCTTTTTTCATAACCCACGCATCCCTTTCTATTGGTTAATAACTTTTTCAACCAATTGCCAATCAGAAAATTTTTAAATCTACCTATAAACTGGAAGCCCCTGTTTCAAGTTGCCACACTTTTCTGAACCAGAGCAATGTATATCTTAAATGTATTTGACTGAAATCTCCTGTCTCCCTAAAATGTATAAAACCAAGCTGTGCCCTGACCACCTTAGGCACATGTTCTCAGACTCTCCTGAAGGCTATGCCATGGGCCAAGGTCACTCATAGCTGGCTCAGAATAAATCTCTTCAAATATTTTACAGAGTTTAAATCTTTGTCGACAGTTGCATAAAAGTTACTTAGTTCCACCTAGGTCCTTCACCACAATATCCATTATGAAACAAAAGTCTTAAACTATTGGGCAAAAAAGAACGCATAATTTTTTTTGTTAGAACACAGCTGAAGACTCATTGTAGCTTGTGGAAAGCAACAACAACAAAACTTCTCTACTTGTGGAGGAGAAACAGAGTTACACTCAGACCCTGACCGTTAGAGGTCTTCTGTAGAATCACTACGGAGGCTCAAACCATGAGATTCAAGGACACAAGGCTGCCTAATACTGAGGCAGAATGACAATAGTAAGAATTCCGTACCTTTTATGCAACAATTACTCTTTCTTTCAAGCAGCTTTGCAACATGAAGGAAGCTTTCTCAGAATTTTCAACTTGTTCCCAGTCCTTCAGTCAAACACTTGATGTCATTTTGGTTCACACTTCAAGGCTAACAGTATTACGTAAAAAAAAAAAAAAAAAAAAAAAAAATTCCAACAATTTGCTGCTTTGGAAGGTTTGGGGAATCTACTGCATGGGAAGAGAGGCATTCTCTGAGGTGTAGTTGCAAAGGAAATACTTGTAACTACGGGGAGAACAGACATTGAATAATATCCTCTGGAAAACATACATATTCTTTTTTTTTTTTTTAATGAGACAGAGTTTCGCTCTTGTTGCCCAGGCTGGAGTGCAATGGCGAGATCTTGGCTCACCGCAACCTCTGCCTCCCACTTCAAGCAATTCTCCTGCCTCAACCTCCTGAGTAGCTTAACCTAAAACAAATAAACATTAGAGGAATTTAAAGCTTCTGATGCAGTGACAGTAAACATATCAGTAACCAAAACCAAAAACCCAGAGCTCAATTCTTAAGTAGATGGACTCAAACCCAGGAAGGCTTAGTTGAAGACAAAAAGTGTCCATTTTACATAAATATTGTTTACTGCAGCTTCTATTATCCTAAATAAGATACACAGATTTTAACAAAAATTGTAAGACTTTAAATAAAGCAAAGAACACACTTTTGTCAGAATCAATGAAGAGACAAAGGCTCAGGTACAACATAAATAAGAAGTAATCAGAAACAACATTTTAAATAAGTATTACTAAGAAATTGTAGAGACAAAGAAATAATTTCACATTTTACCTCTGAAAGTTTGTTGAATATCAGCTGATGAAAGTTAAATAAATGTCATACAAATTTATTAATATGCAGGGAGGGTAATATACTTAGGCTTTGTATCCCCAGCCAAAGCTTATCTTGAATTGCAATTCCCATAATTCCCATGAGTTGAGGGAGAGACTAGGTGGAGGTAGATAAACCATGGGGAAAGAGGGGGTTCTCCCATTCTGTTCTCATGACAGTGAGTGAGTTCACATGATATTTGATGGTTTTATAAGAGACTCTTCCCCCTTTGCTTGGCACTTCTTCTTCCTGCTGCCTTGTGAAGAAGGTGCTTTGCTTCCCCTTTAACTTCTGCCATTATTGTAAGTTTCCTGAGGTCTTCCCAGCCATGCTAAACTGTAAGTAAATTAAACTTCTTTCCTTTATAAATTACCCAGCATTTGGAAGTTCTTTATAGCAGTATGAAAATGAACTAATACAGTACATCGGTACCAGAGAGAATGGGGTGCTGCTATAAACATACCTGAACATGTGGAACCAACTTTGGAACTGAGTAATAGGCAGGGGTTGGAACAGTTTGGACACCTCAGAAAAAGACTGAAAAATGTGGAAAAGTTTGGAACTTGCCAGAGACTTGTTGAGTGGCTTTGACTAAAATACTAATAGTGATATGTACAATGAAGTCCTGGCTGAGGTGGTCTCAGATAGAGATGAGGGACTTATTGGGGACTGGAATAAAGGTGACTCTTGCTGTGCTTTTACAAAGAGACTGGTGGCATTTCGCCCCTGCCCTAGAGATCTGTGGAACTTTGAACTTGAGAAAGATGATATAGGGTGTCTTGCAGAAGAAATTTCTAAGCAGCAAAGCATTTACGATATGACTTGGGTGTTCTTAAAAGCATTCAGTTATATGCATTCACAAAGAGATGGTTTAGAATTGGAACTTATGTTTAAAAGTGAAGCAGAGCATAAAAGTTTGAAAATTTGCAGTCTGATAATGTGAAAGAAAAGAAAATCTTATTTTTTGAAGGCTAAATTCAAGCCAGCTGCTAAAATTTTCATAATTAATGAGAAGCCAAAAGTTAGTCACCAAGACAATGGGGAAAATTTCTTCAGGGCATGTCAGAAGTCTTCACAGAAGTCCCTCCCATCACAGACCCAGAGATTTAAAAAAAATAGTTTTATGTGCTGGACCCAGGGCCTTGCTACTTTGTGCAGTTTCACGACTTGGTGCCCTGCAATCTCAGCCATCAGCCATGGATAAAAGAGGTCAATGTACAGCTCAGTCCATTGCTACAGAGGGTACAAGCACAAAGCCTTGGTGGCTTCCACTTGGTGGTGGGCCTGCAGGTGCACAAGAAGTCAAGAATTGAGCTTTGGGAACTGCCACCTAGATTTCAGTGGATGTCCAGGAAGAAATTTGCTGCAGGAGTGGAGCCCTCATGGAAAACCTTTGCTAGGGCAGTGCAGAAGAGAAATGTAGGGTTGGAGCCCTGATACAGAGTCCCCACTGGGGAGCTGTGAGAAGAAGGCCACCATCCTCAAGACCCTAGAATGGTAGATCCACCAAAAGCTTGCATAGTGTACCCAGAAAAGCTGTGGACACTCAACTTCAGCCCATGAAAGCAGCCAAGAGGGGGGCTGTACCCTAAAAAATCCACAGGGACAGGCCAGGCATGGTGGCTCATGCCTGTAATCCCAGCACTTTGGGAGGCTGAGGCGGGCAGATCACAAGGTCAGGAGTTCGAGACCAGCCTGGTCAATATGGTGAAACTCCACCTCTACTAAAAATACAAAAATTAGCCAGGTGTGGTGGTGGGCACCTGTAGTCCCAGCTACTTGGGAGGATAAGGCAGGAGAATCGCTTGAACCTGAGAGGCGGAGGTTGCAGTGAGCCGAGATTGCACCATTGCACTCCAGCCTGGGCAACAGAGTGAGACTCCATCTCAAAAAAAAAAAAAAAATTCACAGGGACAGAGCTGCTTAAAACCATGAAAACCCATCTCTTGCATCAGAATGACCTGGATGTGAGACATGGAGTCAAAGGAGGTCATTTCAGAGCTTTAATGAACATTTTCTCCCACGGAATGGGAGAAAATATTTTCAAACTACCCAGCTGACAAGGGATTTATAACCAGAATAGATAAGGAGCTCAAACAACTCTATAGAAAAAAAATCTAATAATTAAAAATGAGCAAAATATTTGAATAGACATTTCTCTAAAGAAGACATACAAATGACAAACAGGCATATAAAAGGCACTCAACATCATTGATCATCAGAGAAATGCAAATGAAAACTGCCATGAGATATCATGTCATCTCAGTTAAAATGGCTTATATCCAAAAGACAAGCAATAACAAATGCTTGTGAGGTCATGGAGCAAAAGGAACCCTTATACACTGCTGTTGGAAATGTAAATTAGTACAATCAATATGAAGAACAGTTTGGAGATCACTCATAACCATAAAAGTACAGCTGCCATATGATTCAACAATCTCACTGCTGGGTATACATACCCACCAAAGAGGAAATCAATATATCAAAGAGATCTGCACTCTCATGTTTGTTGCAGCATTGGTCACAGTAGCCAAGATTTCAAAGCAACCTAAGTGTCCAACATCAGCTTTCAATTATTGCATGTTCTTAGATATAAAGGAAATATGGTTCATATACATAGTCTATTACTATTCAGCCATTAAGAAAATAAGATTCAGTCATTTGCAACAACATGGATGGAACTGGATATCATTATGTCAAGTGATATAATCCAGGCACAGAAAGACAAACTTCACATGTTCTCACTTATTGGTGGGATCTAACAATCAAAACAATTGGACTCATGAAGACATAGAGTATAAGATGGTTACCAGAGTCCGGGAAGGGTAGTGGGAGTTGGATAAAAATTGGGATGGTTAATTGGTACAAGATAATAATCAGAATGAATGAATAAGATATTTGATAGCACAACAGGGTGACTATCATCAACAATAACTTACTTGCACATTTTAAAACTAACATAAGTGGATTGCAACAGAAAGGATAAATGCTTGAGGGAATGAATACCCTATTTTCCATGATGTAAGTATTACCATTGCATGCCTATATCAAAATATCTCATGTACCCCCATAAATATATACATCTACTATGTTCCCATCGAAATTAAAAATTAAAAATAACAAAAAAAGGGTATGTTGCTATAGTATTTTTGCCTGGAGTGATCTATTTTCATCTGTTGGGTATAATTATTAGTGTTAAGTCTTTTACTTCCCGTTTAAAATTTCTGGTTTTCTTATTTATCATTGAAAGTTGTAGTACTGCAGTTTCCAAATGTTCCAGACCATTATTGCAGAGCTTTCTGTTTCTCTCTTCAATTCTATCTCATATGTTTAGGATCCCTGACATTTAGTGCATATATATAGATAGTATTGTTATATATCTTCTTGTGAATTTATACTTTATCATTATATAATGTTTCCATTTGTCTCTTATAACAGTTTTCAATTTAAACTCTACTTGGCGTTGATATCACCACTCCTTTGCTTTTTCCATTACTGTGTGCACCAATATTTTTTTCATCTTATCTCTTTCAACCTTCGCGTGTTCTTAAATACAAAATGAGTATATTAAAGTGTCCATATAGTTGAGAGTGCTTTTAATCCATTGTGTCAGTCTGTCTTTTGGTTAGAGAGTTGAATAAATAATGGTTTAAATTTATAATTGATAGGGAAGATTTATTATTGCCATTTAAATAATTTGTTTTCTGTATGTCTTATAGCTATTTTGTGCCTCCTCTTTTTTCTAATGCCTTCCTTTGTGGTTAGTTGATTTTTTTTAATTGACACATTTTTATTCCCTTCTTATTTCCTTTTGTGTGTATTCTATAGATATGTCCTTCGTGGTTACCTTGGTGATTATCCATAATATCCTACATATATGAAAAATTATTTTGAATTAATACTACTTTAATTTAAATCATGTACACAAATTTTCTTTCTTCATGTCATTGATTTACAAATGTCATATTAATATATTTTCTGACTATTAATGTAGGTTTCAATTTTCTTTTTTAATTTTTTAAATCCTGTAGAGGAATAAAAAATAGCTATAAACCAAAATGCAAAAAAAAATAGTTTTTGTGTGTTTTTCACTTATGTATCCTTAACAGAAATTTTTATATTTTGTTGGGCTTTAAGTTATTGTCTATACATCCTTTTATGTCTACGTGAAAGACTCCCTTCCGCATTTCTCTTAGCACAGATCTCGTGATAATGCACTGTCTCAGCTTTTATTTATCTGATAATGTCTTAATTTCTTCCTCATTTTGAAGGACAGCTTTGCCCTGGATTAAATACTTGATAGAGAGGGTTTGTTTGTTTCTTTCTTTTAACACTGCAGATATATCTCCTTCCAGACTGGAAGGCTTACCTAAATAATCTGATAAATTTATTAAAGATGCCTTGTGCATGATTAGTCACTTTTCTCTAGATGTTTACAAGATTCTGTTTTATATTTGGCTTTTGCAACTTTGATTATTATGCATCTTGCAGTGGGTCCCTTTGGATTTTTTTTTTAACTTGGAGCTTCTTGTATTTTTATATCCATGTTTTAAAATCAGATTTTGGATTTCTTATCATTATTTAAAAAATACTCTATGCCATTTTTCTCACTTCTTTTTTTAAGATTACCATAATGCACATATTGTTCTGCTTGATGGTCTCTCATAAATGTCTTAGGCTCTGTTCACGTTGTTCATTATTATTTTATTTGGCTTTGCTCCTCAGATTTACTAACTTCCAATGTTCTACCTTCAAGTTTACTAATTCTTTCTTCTTCTGGTTTGAGTCTGATGTTGAGCTTCTGTACTAAACTTTTCAATTCAGTTATTTTACGTCTCAGCTATAGAATTTCTGCTTTGTTTTGTTTTATAATTTATATCTCACTGTTGACATATTCACTTTTATATATGATTTTTGTAATGCTCTTTCTTTTTTGTGTCCTTTAAATTTAAGCCTACTATAAACAGTTGTTATAAAGTATTTTTCTAATAAGTCCTAAATTTTGGTCAATTCATAGAGATTTATTTCAGTCCTTTAAATAGACCATTTTTTCTTGTTTTTTACATTTTGCAATTTTTGTTGAAAATTTGACATTTGAAATAACAGCCATTCTTCCAGTTTTTGCAATATGACTCTATGTTAGGTGAAACCTTCACTATAAGCCCAGTGTGAAGGATTTATGTTTCTCAGGTCTTCTCTGGGCATGTATATTTCCTGTGCCTGTGTCTGTGCTTTTTTCTAATTCCCTCCATATAAACATCTATGCTGCTTTCCTCATCTTATCTCTTAGTTAGGTGATACAGAATCTGGTTCTGTAAGCAGGCCACAGACAGAGCAAAAATTTGCAAACCATTTCTCTGAGGAAGAAATGCAAGAAATTTGGCTACTTCCTCCCAAAGATGCCACACCAGGGAGGGAGTGACACAGGGCCACAGATTTGCTTGTCTTTACGAGTGTGACTTCTTGTTGATTGGGCATTTGCTTAATTGTTACAATTCATTGACTGTATTCTGGGGCTCCTACAAAGTTATTTTAGTTTACAGTTTATAACCTGATGTTTCTGTGGGGGGCCAAAAGGACCTGGAGTTTCTCAAACTGCCATTTTGCCAACAGCTTGGAAGGCTCTTGTTACCTAATTCTGAAAGCTTTATGAAGTTACTGTAATAAAGATAGTGTATTTTGGAGAAGGAGAGAAATATTTGTCAGTAGAACAGAAAGGAAGAGGAACAGAGGAAGATCAGAGTAGACCCACTAAAATATGGACAATGGAGCTTTACAATAGCACAAAGGTATTTTATTGGAAAAAAATTATCTTTTCAACATATGTTGCATATCTCTATGCAAAGACATTAATAATAACAATATCCATACTATTCTCACATTACAAAAACTAACTCCGATATATTATAGACCTATATATAAAACATAATCTTATAAAATTTCTAGAAAAAACTGACTTTGGGTTTGGCAAATATTTCTTAGATGCAACACTAAAAGCACAATTTATAATAAAAAGTTCATGTGCTGGACTTTATAAATATTAAAAATATCCACTTTTTAAGTTCTGGGATACATGTACAGAATGGGTATGTTTGTTACGTAGGTACACATCTGCCTTGGTGGTTTACTGCACCTATCAACCCATCACCTAGGTTTTAAGCCCCACATGAATTAGCTGTTCATCCTGATGATCTCCCTCTCCTCACCATCCCCCACGACAGGCCCTGATATGTGTTGTTTCCTTCCCTGTTTCCATGTGTTCTCATTGTTGAACTCCCACTTATGAGTGAAACATGTGGTGTTTGGTTTTCTGTTCCTGTGTTAATTTGCTGAAGATAATGGCTTCCAGCTTCATCCATGTCTCTGCAGAAGATATAATCTCATTCCTTTTTATGGCTGCATAGTATTCCATGCTGTATATGTACCACATTTTCTTTATCCAGTCTATAATCAATGGGCATTTGGGTTGGTTCCATGTCTTTGCTATTGTGAATAGTGCTGCAATAAACATACATGTACATGTATCAGTTCTAGATACTTGAGGAATTGCCACACTGTCTTCCACAATGGTTGAACTAATTTACATTTCCACCAACAGCATAGAAGTGTTCCTATTTTTTCATAGCCTCACCAGCATCTGTTGTTTCTTGACTTTTTAATATTCACCAGTCTGACTGGTGGGAGATGGTATCTCACTGTGATTTTGATTTGCATTTCTCTAATGATCAATGATATTGAGCTTTTTTTCATACGACTATTGGCTGCATAATGCACAACTTCTTCTGAGAAGTTTCTATTCATATCCTTTGCCCACTTTTTGATGGGGTTATTTGTTTTTGTCTTGTAAATTTGTTTAAGTTCCTTGTAAATTCTGGATATTAGACCTTTGTCAGATGTGTAGATTGCAAAAATTTTCTTCTATTCTATAGGGTGCCTGTTCACTCTGATGATAGTTTCTATTGCTATGCAGAAGTGCTTTGGTATAATTAGATCCCATTTGTCAATTTGTTGTAATTGCTTTTAGTGATTTCATCATAAAATCTTTGCCCATGCCTATGTCATGATGGTATTGCCTAGGTTTTCTTCTGGGGTTGTTATCATTTTGGGTTTTACATTCAATTCTTTAATTCATCTTGAGTTAATTTTTGTATAAGGTGTAAGGAAGGCATCCAGTTTCAATTTTCTGCATGTGACTAGACTGTTTCCACAGCACCATTTATTAAATAGGGAATCCTCTTCCCATTGCTTGTTTTTGTCAGGTTTGTTGAAGATCAGATGGTTGGAGATGTGTGGTCTTATTTCTGAAGTCTCTATTCTCTTCCATTGGTCTATATGTCTGTTTTGGTATAAGTACCATGCTGCTTTGGTTACTGTAGCCTTGTAGTATAGTTTGAAGCCAAGTAACGTGATGCCTCCAGCTTTGTTATTTTTGCTTAGGATTGTCTTGGCTATGTGGGCTCTTTTTTTGGTTCCTTATGAATTTTAAAGTAGTTTTTTTCTAATTATGTGAAAAATATCAATGGTAGTTTGATGGGATTAACGTTGAATCTATAAATTACTTTGGGCAATATGGCCATTTTCACTATATTGATTCTTGCTATCTATGAGGATGGAATGTTTTTCCATCTGTTTGGATCCTCTCTTATTTCCTTGAGCAGTGGTTTGTAGTTCTTGAAGAGGTCATTCACATCACTTGTTAGCTGTATTCCTAGGTATTTTATTCTCTTTGTAACAATTGTAAATGGGAGTTCATTCATGATTTGCCTCTCTGCTTGTCTATTGTTTGTGTATAGGAATGCTTGTGATTTTTGCACATTGATTTTGTATCCTGAGATTTTGCTGAAGTTGCTTATCAGCTTAAGAAGTTTTGGGGCTGAGACGATGGAGTTTTCTAAATATACAATCATGTCATCTGCAAACAGAGACAATTGGACTTCCCCTCTTCCTATTTTAATACTCTTTATTTCTTTCTCTTGCCTGATTGCCCTGGCCAGAACTTCCAATAATATGTTGAGTAGGAGTGGTGAGAGAGAGCATCCTTGCCTTGTGCTGGTTTTCAAAGGGAATGCTTCCAGCTTTTGCCTAATCAGTATGATATTGGCTGTGGGTTTGTCATGAATAGATCTCATTGTTTTGAGATGTGTTACATCAATACCTACTTTATTGAGAGTTTTTAGCATGAAGCGGTGTTGAATTTTATCAAAGGCCTTTTCTGCATCTATTGAGATAATCATGTGGTTTTGTCATTGGTTCTATTTATGTGATGAATTACGTTTATTGATTCGTGCATGTTGAACCAGCTTTGCATCCCAGGGATGAAGCCAACTTGATTAAGGTGGATAAGCTTTCGAAGTGCTGCTGGATTCAGTTTGCCAGTATTTTACTGAGGATTTTTGCATTGATCTTCATCAGATATATTGGCCTGAAGGTTTTTTTGTTGTTGTTGCTATTATGTCTCTGCCAAGTTTTGGTATTAGGATGATGCTGGCCTCATAAAATGAGTTAGGGAAGAGTAGCTCCTTTACAATTGTTTGTAATAGTTTCAGAAGGAATGATAGCAGCTCCTCTTTGTACCTCTGCTAAAACTCAGCTGTGAATCTGTCTTTCCTTAGCTTTTTTTAGTTGGTAGACTATTTATTACTGCCTCAATTTCAGAACCTGTTATTGCTCTTTTCAGGGATTTGATGTCTTCCTGGTTTAGTGTTGGGAGGGTGTATTTGTTGAGGAATTTATCAATTTCTTCTAGATATTCTAGTTTATTTGCATAGAGGTGTTTATAGTATACTCTGGTGGTAGTTTGTATTTCTGTGGGGTCAGTGATATTATCCCCTTCATCATTTTTTGTTTCATCCATTTGATTTTGCTCCTTTCTTCTTTATCAGTCTAGCTAGCATTCTATCTATTTTATTATTTGTTTTTCAAAAACCTAGCTCTTTGATTCATTGATTTTTTTTGAAGAGTTTTTCGTTTCTCTATCTCGTTCAGTTCTGCTCTAATCTTAGTTATTTATTGTCTTCTGCTAGCTTTTGGAGCTGTTTGCTCTTGTTTTTCTAGTTCTTTTAATTGTGATGTTAAGGTGTTGATTTGAGATCTTTCTAGCTTTCCGATGTGGGCATTTAGTGCTATAACTTCCCCTCTTAACACAGTTTTAGCTGCGTTCCAGAGATTCTAGTATGTTGTTTCATTCTTCCCATTGGTTTGAAATAACTTCTTGATTTCTGCCTTAATTTCATTATTTACCCAAGAGTCATTCAGGAGCAAGTTGTTCAATTTCCGTAAAGTTGTGTGGTTTTGCATGAGTTTCTTAATCCTGAGTTCTAATTTGATTGCACTGTGGTCTGAGAGACTATTATGATTTCAGTTCTTTTGCATTTGCCGAGGAATGTTTTACTTCCAATTATGTGGTCAATTTTAGAGTAAGTACCATGTGGCACTGAGAAGAATGTATATTCTTTTGTTTGAGGGTAGAGAGTTCCGTATATATCTATTAGGTCCACTTGATCCAGAGCTGAGTTCAAGTCCTGAATATCCTTGTAAATATTGTCTTGTTGCTCTAATATTGACAGTGGTGTGCTAAAGTCTCACTATTATTGTGTGGGAGTTGAAGTCTTTTTGTAGGTCTCTATAAACTTGTTTTATGAATCTGGGTGCTTTTGTATTGGGTTCATGTATATTTAGAATAGTTAGCTCTTCCTGTTTAATTGATCCCTTTATCATTATGTAATGCCCTTCTTTGTCTTTTTTTTTTTAATCTTTGTTGGTTTAAAGTCTGTTTTGTCAGAGACTATGATTGCAGCACCTGCTTTTTTCTGCTTTCCATTTTTCTGAGTAAATTTTCCTTCATCCCTTAATTTTGAGCCTATGTCTGTCTTTGCTTGTGAGATGGGTCTCTTGAATACAATACTCTGATAGGTCTTGACTCTTTATTCAGTTTGCAAGTCTGTGTCTTTTAATTGGGGCATTTAGCCCATTCACATTTAAGGTTAATATTGTTATGTGTGAATTTGATTCTGTCATTATGATGCTAGCTGGTCATATTGCACACTAGTTGATACTGTTTTTTCATAGTGTCATTAGTTTTTATGTTTTGGTGAATTTCTCAGTGGCTGGTACTGGTTTTTCCTTTCCATATTTAGTGCTTCCTTCAGGAGCTCTTGCAAGCAGGCCTTGTGGTGATGAATTTCCTTAGCATTTGCTTGTCTGAGAAGGATTTTATTTCTCCTTCTCTTATGAAGCTTAATTTGGCCTGATATTAAATTCTGGGTTGAAAATTCTTCTCATTAAGAATGTTGACTTTGGGAGGCCAAGACGGGAGGATCACAAGGTCAGGAGATCAAGACCATCCTGGCTAACACGGTGAAACCCCGTCTCTACTAAAAATACAAAAAATTAGCCGGGCGTGGTGGCGGGTGCCTGTAGTCCCAGCTACTCAGGAGGCTGAGGCAGGAGAATGGCATGAACTCGGGAGGCAGAGCTTGCAGTGAGCTGAGATCGCGCCACTGCACTCCAGCCTGGGCAAGAGTGCGAGACTCTGTCTCAAAAAAAAAAAAAAAAGAATGTTGAATATTGGCCCCCACTTTCTTCTGGCTTGTAGGTTTTCTGCTGAGAGATCTGCTGTTAGTCTGATGGGCTTCCCTTTGTAGGTGACCTGGCCTTTCTCTCTGGCTGCCCTTAACATTTTTTCCTTCATTTCAACCTTGGAGAACCTGATGATTATCTGTCTTGGAATTGATCTTCTCATGAACTATCTTGGTGGAATTCTCTGTATTTTCTGAATTTGAATGTTGGCCTGTCTTGCTAGGTTCAGGAATTTCTCCTAGATAATATCCTGAAGTGTGTTTTCCAACTTGGTTGCATTTTTTCCATCTCTTTCAGATACTGGTCTTTTTACATAGTCTCACATTACTTGGAGGTTTTGTTTGTTCCTTTTTATTTATTTTTTTTGCCTGCCTTATTTCAGCAAGATAGTCTTTCATTTCTGACATTTTTTTTTCACTTGATTGATTCAGCTATTAATACTTGTGTATGCTTCACAAAGTTCTCATGCTGTGTTTTTCAGCTCCATCAGGTCATTATGTTCCTCCTTAAACTGGTTATTCTAGTTAGCAGCTTCTGTAACATTTTAACAAGTTTCTTAACTTCTTTCCATTGGGTTAGACCATCCTCCTTTACTTCAGCAAAGTTTGTTATTACCCACTTTCTAAAGCCTACTTCTGTCAGTTCATCCATCTCATTCTCCGTCCAGTTCTGCACCCTTGCTGGGAGGTGTTGCAATTATTTGGAGGAGAAGAGGCACTCTGGCCTTTTGGGTTTTCAGCATTTTGTTTGTTTTGCTGATTCTTTCTCATCTTCATGAGTTTGTCTAGTTTCAATCTTTGAGACTGTTGACCCTTGGATGAAGTTTCTGTGGGGACTTTTGTTGATGCTGTTGTTGTTGCTTTCTGTTTGTTTATTTTTCTTTCAATAGTCAGGTCCCTCTTCTGTAGGGCTGCTGTGGTTTGCCAGGGGGTTAACTTCAGGCCCCCTTTATCTGGTTCCCTCCTGCACCTGGAGATGTCACTCAAGGAGCCTGGAGAAGAGCAAACATGGATGCCTTCTCCTTATTCTGGGATCTCTGACCTCGAGGGGAACTGACCTGATGCCAGTAGGAATGCTCCTGTTTAGAGTGTCTGACAACCCTTGTTTGTTGGGGCGGTGGGGGGGGTCTCACCCAGTTGGATGGCATGGGAAGCAGGATTCATTTAACAAAGCACTTTGGCTGTCCCTTGGTAGAGGGGGTGTGCTGCACTGGAGGGAAACTCACTCATCAGGGCTTCCCAGATTCCTCAGAGCTAGTAGGAGGAAAGACTAAGTCTCCTGGTCTGTGGAGACTAAGACCAACCATCCCCTTAGGGGCTCAGTCCCAGGGAGATCAGAGTTTTGTTCCTGAGCCCCTAGCTGGAGCTGTTGGAGTTCTTGCAGGGAGTCCCTGCAGTGGAAGTGTTGCTGCCACCCTTCCCCCAAAGAGCTCAGCTGGCTTAGAAAGCAGGCAGCTGCAGCAGTGGTGATGGCCGCCCCTTCCCCTGGAACTTGGCAGGCTTAGGCAGATTCTAGAACAAGTGGCTGTTGTGAATTTGCACACCTCTATGGTTGGGAGCCAAGCCCTGGTGGCATGGGCTCACGAGTGGGATCCTCTGATCCATGTGTTGCACAGTTCTGTGGAGAAAGCACGGTTTCCCAGGCTGGATAGCACGCTCACTCACTGCCTCCCTTGGCTGAGGGTGGGGGCTCCCCTGCCCTGTGTGGCCCTTAGGTGGGAGGCTTCCTTCCACTGCTCTTCCTTCCTCTCTCTGGGTAATGCCAGAAGCCTAGTCAGTGCTAATGACAAAATCTAGATACCTTAGTTTCCAATGCAGGATTCCATGCTGTTTGGGATCTTTTCGATGGGAGCCTCTGATCATTGCTGCTTCTAGTTGGCCACCTTGGTCCTTCCCAGTTGTAAGCTCAAAATATCCACTCTTTCAAAGACATGTGAAGAGGATAAAAAAGGCAGTTTTTTGGGGGGAAATATTTATAAATTCTGTAATTAATAATGGCTTTCTATGAGGAACACAAAAATAACTCTTGAAAAACTCAATAACAACAACAACAACAAAATACTCCAATAAAATAGATGAAAGATTTAAAAACTTCACCACTGAGGAAATATAATTGACAGGTAAGTGCAATATAAAATTCTTAACATTATTAGGCATTCTGGAAATGCATTTTAAAATGAAAATGGGTTTTTTTTTTTTAAATCTGAGTATGCTGAGTAACTGGAACACTCATATATTACTGGTAGGAATGAGGAAGTGTGCATCTAATATGGAAAACATTTTGGCCATTTTTTAAAAAATAAAGTGCAGCAAATACTCGTCATTTCTAGAAACTACACTCCTAGGTTTTTACCCAAGTGAAATAAAAAATATATTCATATATAAACCTATACGTCAATGTTTATAGTATCCTTTCCTTGTAATCAACCAAAACTGAATACAAGTAAAATGTTCTTCAACTGTATACACAAATAAACATTTGTATATCTACATAATTGAATACAATTTGGCAAAAAAAAAAAAAATAGTGATACAAACAATAAAATGCCTGAATTTCAAATGCACGTGGCAGTAGTCAGACTCCAAAGGCTGTTGTAATAGTTAACTTTAGGCATCAACTTAACTGGGCTAAGCGATGCCCTGAGAGCTGGAAAAACATAATTTCTGAGTATGTCTGTGAGAGTGTTTCTGGAAGATGCTGGCATTTGAATCAATAGACTGAGTAAAGACAAACCACTTCTAACAATCTGTCAGGTGTCAGCCAATCTACTGAGAGCCCAAATATAGCAAAAAGGCAGAAGGAGGGCAAATTATCTCTCTTCTTGAACTGGAACATTCGTCTTCTGCTCTCAGATATTGACGCTCTTGGTTCTCAGGCCTGTGGTCTCCAGGACTTACACCAGTGGATCCCGCAGTTTTCAGGCCTTTAGAAGTATACAAAATTATATCACTGGCTTTCATGATTCTCCAGCTTGCACATGAAAAATGGTGGGACTTCTCAGTCTCCATAATTTCATGAACCAATTCCCATAATAAATCTCTCTCTCTGTTTCCGTCTTTCTCTCTCTATCTCTCTTCCTATCTCTACTGCTGCCTTTATCTCTCTGTCTATATATGTATAAATGGTATTACATTACTTTATTTCTTTATTATGTGATTATTAGATTTATAAATGTTGATTTATACCTATATTATCTTATGTGACTATGTAAATTTGAAGACACAGCTCTGTTTTGCATATAAAACCAAATTGCATACTATATGGGAAAATTACATAGAAACTATAAATGAAAGTATAAATTTTCCCTTGGGAAAAGCTTTTAAAGAAATCTATATTATTCTGAGAGTGCAAACATCTCCTTTACACAGACTCAAAGAAATTCAATTGTTATAGTAAATATGCCTTCTCCTTTGAAAATGTGCATGATAAAGACATTTTAAGAAGCAGGCATTCTACAAGTTTCCCTTTGTAATTTAGCCATTGGCAATGGTATATACATACAGACAATTATTAGTCTTGTGCTTCGAAATAGCTGTTGACGATGGACTGGTTCTATAACATTTTTAAGACTCTACATGCTCTTTTTTAGGAAAATGACTTTGCACCTTTCTTTCTCATTTATTGTAAAGTGGTAATCCTATAAAGGCAAGAAAGCCAAATACCAAAATTATGCATAATTCTCTTATATTAGAAATCATCTTTCCTACATTTGCTTCTGCTTCTGAAAAAAGGTAAAAATTATGATTTTACATTGTTGTCATTTAATGTAAACAATGGTGATGCACCAGTAGATTGAAGGCTGAATTTACCTACTACTTATATTGTACATAGCGTGTTAAAATGGTGCTGATACAACACAGAATAAGCACTGTAAAATGCCTTAATACTGTTCAAATACAGGTTTTATTTCTTTTATTTTAAAAAAAAAGTTGCCTAGGTTTTCTTCTAGGGTTTTATGGTTTTATATTTAAGACTTTAATTCGTCTTGAGTTAATTTTTGTATGAGGTGTAAGGAAGGAGTCCAGTTTCTGTTTTCTGCATATGGCTAGCCAGTTTTCCCAGCACCATTTATTAAATAGGGAATCCTTTCCCTGTTGCTCATTTTTGTCAGGTTTGTCAAAGATCAGATGGTTGTACATGTGTGGTGTTATATCTGAGGTATCTGTTCTGTTCCATTGGTCCATATATCTGTTTTGGTACTAGTACCATGCTGTTTTGGTTACTGTAGCCTTGTAGTATAGTTTGAAGTCAGGTAGCATGATGCCTCCAGCTTTGTTGTTTTTGCTTACAATTGTCTTGGCTATACAGGCCCCTTTTTGGTTCCATGTGAAATTTAAAGTAGTTTTTTTTCTATTCAGGATGTAGGCATGGGCAAAGACTTCATGATTAAAACACCAAAAGCAATTGCAACAAAAGTCAAAATTGACAAATGGGATCTAATTTAACTAAAGAGCTTCTGCACAGCAAAAGAAACTATCATCAGAGTGAACAAGAAACCTACAGAATGGGAGAAAATTTTTGTAATCCATCCGACAAAGGGCTAATATCCAGAATCTACAAGAAACTTAAATTTACAAGAAAAAAAAACCACATCAAAAAGTGGGAAAAGAATATGAACATATCAACAGACACTTCTCAAAAGAAGACATTTATGCGGCCAACAAACATATGAAAAAAAGCTCATCATCACTGGTCATTAAAGAAATGCAAAGCAAAACCAGTAAGATACCATCTCACACCAGTTAGTATGGCAATTATTAAAAAGTCAGGAAACCACAGATGCCAGTGATGCCGTGGAGAAATAGGAACGCTTTTACACTGTTGGTGGGAGTGTAAATTATTTCAACCATTGTGGAAGACAGTGTGGCAATTCCTCAAGGATCTAGAACCAGAAATACCATTTGACCCAGCAATCCCATTATGGGGTATATACCCAAAGGATTATAAATCATTCTACTATAAAGACACATGTACATGTATTTTTACTGTGGCACTGTTCACAATAGCAATGACTTGGAACCAACCCAAATGCCCATCCATGATAGACTAAAGAAAATGCACCACATATATACCATGGAATACTATGCAGCCATAAAAAAGAATGAGTTCATGTTCTTTGCAGGGACATGAATGAAGCTGGAAGCCATCATTCTCAGCAAACTAATACAGGAACAGAAAACAAAACACTTCATGTTCTCACTCATAACTGGGAGTTGAACAATGAGAACACATGGGTACAGGGAGGGGAACATCACACACTGGGGCCTGTCAGGGGTAGGAAGCAAGGGGAGGTAGAGTATTAGGACAAATACCTAATGCATGCAGTGCTTAAAACCTAGATGATGGGTTGATAGATGCAGCAAATTACCATGGCACATGTATATCTATGTAAGAAACCTGCACATTCTGCACATGTATTCCAGAACTTAAAGTAAGACTTTTTTTTTTTTTTTTTTGAGATGAAGTCTCGCTCTGTCACCCAGGCTGGAGTGCAATGGCGTGATCTCTGCTCACTGCAACCCCCCCCTCCTGGGTTCAAGCGATTTTCCTGCCCAGACTCCTGAGTAGCTGCAATTACAGGCACATGCCACCACACCAGGCTAATTTTTGTATTTTTAGTAGAGACGGGATTTCACCATGTTGGTCAGGCTGGTCTCGAACTCCTGACCTCATGATCCATTTACCTCGGCCTCACAAAGTGCTGAGATTACAGGTGTGAGCCACCGCGCCAGGCCGGCTAAAGTAAAATTGTCTTTAAACAAGTTTTATTTTAGGTTTAGGGGTACATGTGCAGGATTTTTATATTGACAAACTCATGTTGTAGGGGCTTGTGCAAATTTTGTCACCCAGGTACTAAGCATAGTGCCCAATAGTTATTTTTTCTGATTCTCCTTCTCCTTCCACCCTCCACCCTCAAGTAGGCCTAAGTATCTTTTGTTCCCCTTTTTGTTGCCATGTGTTCTCATTATTTAGCTTCCACTTATAAGTGAGAACATGCAGTATTTGGTTTTCTGTTCCTGTATTAGTTTGCTAGAATAATAGCCTCCAGTTCCACCCATGTTCCCAGAAGGGATATAATATTCTTTTTTCTGGCTGCATAGTATTCCATGGTATATATGTACCACATTTTATTTATTCAGTCTGTCATTGATGGGCATTTACGTTGATTCCATGTCTTTGCTATTGCGAATAGTGCTACAATGAACATATGCATACATGTGTCTTTGTGGTAGAACAACTTCTATTCCTTTTATTTTACTATATTTATTTTCCTATATGTTACCCAGTAATGAACAACTTAAAAATAATAAGAGCCGTCTATCATAAATCCACAGACAAAATCATACTAAACAGTCAAAAGCTGAATGTATTCCCCTTGAAAACTGGCACAAGATGAGGATGCCCTGTCCCACCACACCTGTTCATCATAGTATTGGAAGTCCTGGCCAGAGAAATAATGTAAGAGAAATAAATAAATGGCATACAAATAGGAAGAGAGAAAGTCAAACTACCCTGTTTGCAGAAGAAATGATTCTATATCTAGAAAACCCCATAGTCATGGCCACAAAGCTTCTTAACCTGATAAACAACTTTAGCAAAGTTTCAGAATACAAAATCAATGCACAAAAATCATTAGCATTCCTATTCACCAACAGCCAAGCTGAGAGCCAAATCAGGAATGCAATTGCATTTACAACTGCCACAAAAAAATGATACAGCTAGCCAGTTAGGTCAAAGAGCTCTATGGTGAGAATTACAAAACAATGCAGAAAGAAATCAGACATCACACAAATAAATGAAAAACCATTCCATGCTCATGAACAGGAAAAATCAGTATCACTAAAATGGTCATACTGCCTAAAACAATTTACAGATTCAATGCTATTCCTATCAAACTACCAATAATATTCTTCAAAGAACTAGATAAAACTATTATAAAATTCATATGGAAACAAAAAAGAGCCTGAGTAGCTAAGGCAATCCTAAGCAAAAAGAACAGAAATGAAAGCATCACGGTACCCAACTGCAAAATATACTACAGGGCGGGGCCGTGCGCAGTGGCTCACGCCTGTAATTTCAGCACTTGGGGAGGGCGGATCACGAGGTCAGGAGTTCGAGACCAGCCTGACCAACATGGTGAAACCCCATCTCTACTAAAAATACAAAATTTAGCTGGGCATTGTGGCACGCGCCTGTATTCCCAGCTATTCAGGAGGCTGAGGCAGTAGAATCGCTTGAACCCGGGAGGCAGAGGTTGCAGTGAGCCGAGATCGCGCCATTGCACTCCAGCCTGGGCGACAGAGAGGAAACTCAAAAAAAAAAAAAAAAAAAAAACTCAAAAAAAAAAAAAAAAAAAAGCGGCCGGCTGACGGGGACTAGGGCCGGGAGTACCTGAGGAGCCGGCGGCGATGACGGCAGTGGAGGCCTAGTGGGCTCGGTGCGTGGGTCGGCGGCGGCTCGGGGTCCACCCGCGGGCTACGGTGCAAGCGGGGGGCCCGGCTCCCGTCCTCCCCCGCCCGGCTCCGCCACTATGATTGGGTGGAAGATGGCGCTGGCCAGATGGAAATCCTAATGACAGTCTCCAAATTCGCCTCCATCTGTACCATGGGCGCCAATGCTTCGGCATTAGAGAAATAGATTGGTCCAGAACAGTTTCCGGTCAACGAGCATTATTTTGGATTAGTCAATTTTGGGAATACCTGCTACTGCAATTCAGTTCTTCAAGCACTTTATTTTTGTCGTCCGTTTCGGGAAAAAGTTCTTGCATATAAGAGTCAACCTAGGAAAAAGGAGAGCTTTCTTACATGCTTAGCAGATCTCTTCCACAGCATAGCCACTCAGAAGAAAAAGGTTGGAGTAATACCTCCGAAGAAGTTCATCACAAGATTACAGAAAGAAAATGAGCTTTTCGACAACTACATGCAACAAGATGCCCATGAATTCTTAAATTACCTACTAAATACAATTGGTGATATTTTACAAGAAGAGAGAAAGCAGGAAAAACAAAATGGTCGCTAACCTAATGATAATATTGATAATGAAAATAATAGCAGCACACCAGACCCAACGTGGGTTCATGAGATTTTTCGGGGAACGTTAACTAATGAAACCAGACGTCTTACTTGTGAAACTATAAGCAGCAAAGATGGAGATTTTTTAGACCTTTCTGTTGACGTGGAACAAAATACATCAATTACTCACTGCTTAAGGGGTTTCAGCAACACAGAAACTCTATGCAGTTAATACAAGTATTACTGTGAAGAGTGTCGCAGCAAACAGGAAGCACACAAACGGATGAAAGTTTAAAAACTGCCCATGATTCTAGCTGTACACTTGAAGAGATTTAAATATATGGATCAACTTCATCGATATACAAAACTCTCTTACCGGGTGGTTTTTCCTTTAGAACTTCGTCTATTTAACACTTCAGGTGATGCCACCAATCCAGACAGAATGTACGACCTTGTTGCTGTTGTGGTTCACTGTGGAAGTGGTCCCAATCGAGGCCATTATATTGCGATAGTTAAGAGTCATGATTTTTGGTTGTTGTTTGATGACGACATTGTAGAAAAAATAGATACACAAGCTATTGAAGAATTCTACGGGTTGACATCAGATACTCAAAGAACTCTGAGTCTGGTTACATCCTTTTCTATCAGTCTCGGGACTGAGGGGGAACCGCGATGAAGAGATACTTTCTGCCTCATTTCTTTTCTGGTTATTTTGGAAAGGATCAAGCACTGATTTTTCAAGAAAAGAGAAATGCAGGAAGCTCAGGGGGCAGTAGCAGGCTTTGCACACGATAAAGCAAAAACGATGGATTGACAAGCCCTTCTGATCATGGTAGTTGATTTATTTGCTCAGGTATCATGCTGTCTGTACAGTTCCATACAACAAGGAGGTGAAATCCATACCAGCTCCTCTTGTAAAACAGCCTTCCAGTCATTGACAGGCATTTCCTCTTTGCTAATTGCACCAATAATGCTTTGAATTCCTTAGGGGTGCAGTAGAAAGAATCGGAATCTGGGCTGTATTGATAAGGAGATGATGTTGAACGCACTGCATAAATTTGCCTGGTTCAGTATGTATAGAAGCATATTCAGTGGTCTTTTCAAGAGTAAACCAGAAATACTTTTGGGCCCAACACTTGCAGTTGCCTTCCTGATGTAAAAACTAACATGCTAGATAATCCAGTGTCGGGAAGACAAAGATGCTTTGCTTCTCTGAAGAAGCTTATAATAATATACAGTATATGTATATGTAGGGAGCAATTGGTCAAAAGTGGCTTTTTGTTTCCACAAGGGGAAAGACTGGCTATGTAATTATAATTTTTTCCTTATTTATTTTACTTAAAACTGGTAGAGTCTAAGTATTGTATGAAGTGCCCATGATTCTGTCAGTAAATTTGAGCATATTTTTATCAGTTAATGTCATTTTAGCTGGTCCTTTTGTTTCTATTTTTAAGGCGAATTTTAAATTATATCTGAAATCAGTAAGATACCTTGAGAAAAACTGCAATGAGAGGAGGTAAATATCCTTTTCAGGAGGAACTGATATCTCTGGCTAAATATTTGTCCTTTTATTATGGCTTCTAAATCAGTTATTTTCTTCAGCTTTAATTTCATAAAATTAAAAAACTATATAAAAAATTCCTGTAGTTGTTGGAATAATTAAAAATTCTGGTGCAGTGGTGGTATACCAATCTTTAGAATTCTTAAGAATTCTAATGTTTCAAGTTGAGGTCATGCTTGGGAAAATCATGTCATAGCATTTATGTTATTTTCAGATATCATTTTTTACCTTGGAAAGAAGTAATAATGTTCATCATAACCCTAGCGGCCTGGATAGTGAGCTAAACAAACCCTTTGAAGATTACATTTTAATCAAGTAGACTAGGAATACAAAAAACAAGTCCTTCCTCCCCTTCCCCCCACCTTTACAAATCTTACTGGAAGGGTGTTCAGAAATTAAAATTTGTGTTTGCTAAGACTTCATTCTGTTGGGGGTTTTAAGAAGTAATATATGTAATGTAAAATGTATGTAAACCACTGCAGTTTTTTTGGACATTTTTCCATGTATCAGTAAGTTGTCTGACAGTAGCCAAATGTAACTTGCAGAAAGTTATTGAAAGTTATATTGAGAATAATAGCAATCAGGCCTTGGATGTTCTTTATTAAACTCTTTTCAAGCAGTAAATTAAAAAAAAAATCTGCCATTTTCTAAAGTTCTTTTGCTAAGACTGTTGACTACGGAAAACAAACAACAAAACGGAATGTTTTTAGTCTGCTGCTATTATTAACATTTGTTATCTGTACCTTTTGGCTCAGGAAATTACTTCACGTATTTGTTCCATAAGCAGACTTTTAACAGGGTCATTTAGGTAACTGGGCTGCTTAAACAGATGTGCTGGGAGAAAATTATAATATTTAGTATTTGTACTAAATATCAAAAGTATTTTGGCAAGTTTCTTTTTAAAATAGTTTCTAAAGCCTTACCCTGGCTAGAGATGTTTTGTACAAATGATATACAGCCTGCCTGATCTACCAACTTGCCAGAGAATCACAATCAACAATGTGGGGAAAGTCAGGGCAGTGGAAGTGGATGCACACTTTTTATTTTGAGGGCTTAAACCAAATTGTTTTGGAATTAAAGCTGTATTTCTGCAACTTTCAGTACAGAGAAAAAGAGGAAAGTGAAGCTGTGTCAGTTTTAACATTAGCTATATCACAACATGTTTAAGAAAGATAGATGAAGTCATTTGCGTAAAGGTACAGCATTGAAATACTATGTTGTGTTTGTTTTTACATTTTTGCAAAAAAAATACAGTAAAAGCCAAGTTAAATTTCATATTAAAGCAAGTTCTAGTATATGTATTGAGTTGCTGGTAGTCACATACTTTGTTCACATCTGCACCATACTTCGTAGTATGATTTGTCAGGGGAGGGACTGTGGGGTGACAGTTTCACATTTACTTTTTCTTCTTAATGCAGCTGGATCTAAGTAAAATGTTTTGAAGTTTATCAGAAACTCAATATACTTTTAAAATATATAGGGTCAGGGTTGGGGGAAAAATACAGGTATAGTAAGAAAAGTGACCCATGAAGAAAGCATTGTGAGGTTGTATGTTGGTTGACTGTGATTAAAATGCGAGGCTGGTGTAAGTTGTAAACGGTGGCTGATTGCCATGTAACTATGTACATGATTGTTGGGATGGCTGTCCCATATTTTGTATATTGGAATAAAAATTTCTATAAATTATTGTAACTAAAAGTAAATATTCTAAATTAAATCCCACTTCTTAAGTCTCATGGCTTCTGTCTTGGAAACTTTACCTTTAAAAGATTATTTAAGACAGGAACCAGGAGGTTTGGGCACAGGGAAAGAAGGAAATGCTGTATTATGTGGGTCTTGTGGCCTCTAACCATCAGTATAGGGTTTTTTCTTTCCTTGATGGCAGTAGAAAGACCTCATTTTCATAACATAACTACTCTTAATACTTTCTTAAAAACACTTTTTATTAAACATTCCATCATGAAGTATTTGGCTGGGAGCTGGGAGGCTAAAGCACTCATGTCCTGGCTCTTCAGTGAATTTAACTGTGTGACCTTGGGCAAGTCACTTAACCTCTCTGTACTTCAGTCTCCGTATCTTGTAAAATGAGAGTAATACTTACCTCACAGTGTTGTTGTGGGGATTAATTAGAGATAACATCTGTAAAGCACTTAAGGTTCTTGAAGAAGGTTCTATATAAATACAAAATAATATCTACTAAAGTTGGTTTATTTGTGAAAAAAGAAATATATATATACACAGGTATACATACATACACTACAGGGCTACAGTAACCAAAACAGTGTGGCACTGGTATAAAAACAGACACATAGACTAATGGAACAGAATATAGAGCCCAGAAATAAGGCTGCCCACCTAAAATTATCTGATTTTTGACAAAGTGACAAAAACAAGCAATGGAGAAAAGACTCCCTCCTATTCAATAAATGGTGTTGGGATAACTGGCTAGCCACATGGAGAAGATTTAAACTGCACCCATTTTTTACTTCACATACAAAAATGAACTCAAGGCAGAATAAAGATTTAAATGTGAAAACCAACACTATAAAAACCCTGAAGGACAACCTAGAAAAATACCATCCTGGACCTAGAAACTGGCAAAGATTTCATGACAAAGATCCCAAAAGCAATGTTAGTAAAAGCAAAAATTTACAAATAGGATGTATTTAAATGTAAGAGCTTCACCATAGCCAAAGAAACTATCAACAGAGTACACAGACAACCTATGGAACAGGAGAAAATATTTGCAAACTATGCATTTGACAAAGGTCTAATATATAGTATCTATAAGGACCTTAAACAAGTTTACAAGCAAAACACCAAGAGCCACATTAAAAAGGAGGCAAAGGACATGAGCACACTTTTCAAAAGAAGACATACATGTGGCCAACAAGCATGTGAAAAAAAAATTCAATTATCACTGAGCATTAGAGAAATGCAAATCAAAGCCACAGTGAGATATCATCTCATACCTGTCAGAGTGGCTATTACTAGAAGTTGCAAAGTAACAGATGTTGGCGAGGTTGTGCAGAAAAGGGAATCTTTATACGCTGTTGGTGGGAGTGTAAGTTAGTTCAACCATCATGGAAAGCGGTGTGGCAATTTCTCAAAGAGCTAAATAAAGGTTTCAATAGGCATTTGTAGTAAGATATTTCATGTTCTGTTTAAGTCTTTCACAGTTCATATTCTTGGTAAGACCTCATTAGTAAAATCTCCAGAAATTCCACTACGTGTAGTCTCCCTAAACATAAGGCTGAGTCATTAAGACAGTAGCATAACCTAGAACTCTTAAGTCCCTGCTTTTCTGGAAGCCAATTTAGGTAGTTATATATTTCAATCAGAGAGTGAAACATGCATTAGCCTTAAGATTTTATTCAGAATTTTATAGATAAGTGTCTCATTGTTTCAATTATAATCCATTGAGATGACTGAATATCTCACTAATGGAACAATGTTTCCTCTCAAAATTTATATTTGAATGTTTTAATACAAATGAAAATATTCTTATTTTTCTGTAGTACTTTGTTATCCTAAAATTTCAAAAATGTCAAAATCAAATATAAATATGATTGAAAATCAGTTTGTAAGTCTGTTCTTATCATTTTTTGTAAGAATTTATTTTACCTAAGCTAGCTTTGCTTCACATTATATTTTGTGGAATTTTAATAAATGGTTTTGAATAGCAATCAACACAGAAGTTTTTCTAATATTTTTATTTGGTGCATAAAACATTAAACAAATGACAGTTTCTCTTGTTTCAAATGAATGTGTCAGTGCTGAAAAAATTTTGATGTGCTACTCACATGAGCTCACTTATAGAATTTGAGAGAAAAATAACACAATTCAAATGTTATTTTATTTTGAAAACAACCCATTTATGAGGACATATTTACTGGCTATTTGTCCATATACACTTTTTTTCAAAAGGAGGTATGTGTTTGTTTATGTGTATGTGTATGTATGTGTGCATGCACACTCATGTACACCTATACATTTATTAATATGGAAAACAGCTAAAACTTTAAAGAAACGTTTCTGGTCTTTGTTTTTATTTCATTCATGACATTTCAAAGAAAACTCTACTAATTGGCTGCCATTGGGTCAGATTCCCACAGCTGGCTTAATTTTAAAATAGAGGATCTACCACAGCATATACAGCAATAATTTCATAATTTTTAATTGAATCAAGATTTTTAAATTTTATAATGAAGTATATGTATGTAAGGTATCTGAGAACATATTTACCCAGATAATTTATTTTTTCTTTATATTTATAATTGCAAATATAATTCTACAGTACAAATTATTAGGTAATTTAAAAAGCTCCTTACTAGAAGAAGGTTATTATAAAGGGGAAAAAAATCATACTTCAATTAGAAATTTAAAAGTTTTCCTTATAATTTCTAAATGTTAGTGCATCTTAATGTAGAAATGATTTAATTTTTAATTAAATAAAAATAATTTTCCCATAAAAGTACATATATATATCTTTACTTCAGAAGACTATAAAATTTAAATATTATATCGATTAATTTGTATAATAAAATTAATCACTGTGTGTGTGTGTGTGTGTGTGTGTGTGTGTGTAGTTGAGTCATAAGTCATTCTCAAATTTGTAAGTTAGGCAATATTACAAAATGTAGTTATCATTTAATGTTTCCCATTCAATGCGGCAAGTTATATTTTATATTTTATTACTGAAATGATCCTCACGACAGTGCTATAAAGGTCGTACTTTCAATATGTCTACTTTACAGATGAAACAGCTGAGTTAGAGAGATTATGTGCTTTATTCAAAGTTATATTTTTAGCATGAGGCAGGGCTATAATTTGAACCCAAAATGTCTGACACGAGAGTTTACCCCCCTAAATTCTGAAGAAAATTTCTCGAATAAAGAAAGCACCCAAGGTGGAAATCAATACATATTAAAACATATATGATTTGTTTGTGAGAATATCATGGACAATTTCTCGTAATTCTGAAGGTTTAAAAGCATGCATAACAAATGAATCAGTTCATAATTTCAAATGACATAAAACTCAGTTTAAAAAGTAATTAAAGTATCTATTATCAAACATAAAGTACAATAATACTAAGTAATATCGCATAATGATGGGCCATATGGTGAGATATTTTGAAAAGCTATAACATTGGGCTGGGCACGGTGGCTCACGCCTGTAATTCCAGCACTTTGGGAGGTGAAGGTGGGCAGATCACTTGAGGTCAAGAATTCGAGACCAGCTTGGCCAACATGGTGAAATCCGTCTCTACTAAAAATAGAAAAATTACCCAGGCATGGTGGTGCATGCCTGTAATCCCAGCTACTCCAGAGGCTGAGGTGGGAGAATTAATTGAACCTATGAGGCAGAGGTTGCAGTGAGCCGAGATCGCGCCACAGAACTCCAGCCTGGGTGACAAAGTGAGAGTCCATCTTAAAAAAAAAAAAAAAGAAAAAAGTTATAACCCCTATTAATTATCTTCAACACTTAAAATATATCTTTTGTGATTCCTCTAACAGCTCAAACATCACATAAAACAATGCAGAGGGTCAAAGCATTGTCATGTTCAGTTATTTCAGCAGCTAGTCATATATGACAGTAGGCATCTATTCTTTGAATAAATACGTTGAGACAGTTGTGTAGAATCCACTCACATGATATCCAACATATAACTGAAAATTACAATTGAAATTGATGGTTTAAACCATTAATTGCACCATCCAATGAATTTTGTATATTTGTTATTTATGCTTGATAACTTGAATTGACTAATTGGTTCATAGATTGCCCGCTACTAATTCACCACCTCCAAAACACGAACATCCGTTTGAGTACTTCTGTACTTGATCACACAAACAGAAAGGAGAAAGCACAGGTTTTGATTCTATCCACTGTGCTAAGAGCAGTATTCATTATTTACTTAATGCTATAGTCTGAATGTTTCCTCCAAAATCCATGTTGAAATTTAATGGCTGTTGTGATTATATTAAGAGGTGAGAATAGTAAGAATGGGTTGCTGCCATATGCCATGGGGATGAGTTAATTATCCCGGGAGTAGGTTCCTGATCAAAAGCATGAGTTATACCCTCTTTCTCTCTATCTGATGTACTCACCTGCCCTTCTGTCTTCTGCCATGGTTTGCTGCATCACAAAGGCCTTCACTAGAAGCCAGCTCTTAGCCTTCTCAGCCTTCAAAACCCTGAGGCATATAAACTTCAATTTTTTAAATTAATTACCCAGTCTCTGGTACTCTGTATGGCAACACAAAATAAACTAGGACATTTAACTTAGTTATTAGCTCTTCACTATAATTTTATTTGAACCTTTTTTGTATCAAGTGAGTAAGAACAGCATGATATGTACTCAAAAAGTAGAAAGTAAATGAATATTTTAAAATAAATTATGCATTCAATCTCAAGCTGCTTTATCTGAATTACTGAAATTAGTTTTCCTCTCATAGCAAGTTTTTATTAAAAATGTCTAAAACATTCAAAGGCAAAAATATATTACAAAAATTTACCTTCTGATACGGTTTGGATCTGTGTTCCTGTCCAAATCTTGTGTTGAATTGTAATATCGGAGGTAGGGCCTGGTGGGAGGTAACTGGATCACCAGGGTGGTTTCTCATGGTTTAACACCATTCTCCTTGGAGCTTTGAGTTCTCACAAAATATGGTTGTTTAAAGCTATGTAACACCTCCCCGCTCCCTCTCTTGGTCCTATTACTGCATTGTAAGGCGCCTCCTCCCACTTTGCCTTCTGCCTTGAGTAAAAGTTCCCTGAGGCCTCCCCAGAAGCAGATGATGCCATGCTTCCTGTACAGCCTATGGAACCATAAGCCAATTAAATCTCTTTTCTTATAAATGACCCAGTCTCAGGTATTTATAGCAGTGCAAGAATGGAGTAATACACCTTCCTTATGCTAAAGAAATGCTTCGCTATGTAAAGGGTTATATATACACACACAAACGTATACAGAAACAGAGACTAACTGGAGTCAGTTCTTAAAAGTTTCTAGGAAGCTGATACCAAACATAAATTTTACTAACAAAGAAGAAAGAAAAGAAAAGGAAACATATAGTGTGTTGATTTATTCTAACCCAGCTACTTATATATGCCAGGTACTAGTACTCTTCATTTGAAAATATAGATATTACTTTTAATGTTATTTGCAAAAAATAATAAATTAAAATAAATATATGTTTATATTACACCAGATTATATCATATGAGCATTAGGGTATATTACTTCTCTCCCATGACTTTTGTTTTCACAAAGGCAAAAGATTGACAGATCAGCCATGCTACTAGTTTAGTAAATTTAGGTAAATGAATTAACTGTCCTATATTATAGTAAAAATAGAGGAAAGAATAAAGTGTTTGGTGGATAGAATAATCTTTTACGAACAGCTAGAATGGTAGTTCTACTAGAATATTATCCGTACTCTTTAGTAGACAAAAATTTTTTACACATCATTGTAGGAAACAGGGCAATTTGAAATTAACTGGTGCTAAAATCTTTTCATTACAGAAGTATTTGTCAAAGTAAGAGCCTGGATTCACATTCATCAGAGTATGCTCTAAGCACTTCCTGTATCACTTAGGATGTAGCAAGTCACAAAGATTATTGTTGTCTAACATCAGTAATAAGCCAGGTAAGTTACAAAGGCATAGTTTCTCTTTTTAAAAAAGTTTTAAATCTGAGGATAAAAAGAAAACTAAATCAACTAAAATGCAGAACATGAGAAGCCCTTTATAGGAGAGAAGAGGCTCATGTTTACTTTGTTCCTTTATAGAGTGCTGTGAGGAGAGGAATCTACTATAGATAATTGTTAATAGCAACCACTCAAATATTGAACAGACCTTTGATAGCATGTATAAGCTGGTTTATTGAATTGGGATCTGCAAACACCCCAGCAATTAAAAAAGTATGTACAGTGCTTTCAACACTTTCCCATGGGCCCTCAAAGAATCTTAAGGGATAATATGCTAAAAGTTGCAGACAGAAGAGAACTGAGAGATAGAGCCTCCAGAGATATAACTACCCTACTTCAGTCCACAAACAAAAATTAATTCAAGACAAATTATAGAACAAAATATTAAATCTAAATTCATAAAACTTCCAGGAGAAAATATTGAAAAAATCTGCACATGGGCTACTCGAAGACCTTCTAGTCAGCTCCCAAGTAGTAACCATAAGGACAAAAAATTATAAATGAGACAGTCAAACTTTTAGTTATGCTAATCAAAAGACAGCATAAAAAGGTTAAATATGTAAGCCTCTATCTGTGAAAACTATTTGCAATATATATGTATATATCTGATATAAGATCCTTAACCAAGCTTATGTCCACTTGAAGACAAGTATAAGAATGTACATAACACTTCAATTCATAATAGCTAAAAATTGCCAGACGCTGTGGCTCACGCCTGTAATCCCAGCACTCTGGGAGGCCAAGGTGGACAGATCATGAGGTCAGGAGATCAATACTATCCTGGCCAACATGATGAAACCCAGGCTCTACTAAAAATACAAAAACTAGCTGGGTGTGGTAGACCACACCTGTAATCCCAGCTACTCAGGAAGCTGAGGCAGGAGAATGGCTTGAACCCGGGAGGCGGTGATTGCAGTGAGCCGAGATCACGCCACTGCACTCCAGCCTGGCGACAGAGCAAGACTCCATCTCAAAAAAAAAAAAAAAAAAAAAAAATCTAAAAATTGGAAATAATACAAATGCCCATTAACACATGAATGGATTAAACTTTGTGATACATTTATACAATGAAATCTTACTCAACAATAAAAAGAAAACAAATTCTCATATGTAAAAAAATAGAGAATCTAAAACCATTAAATTGAATACAAGAAGCCAAACACAAATAAGTACATACTGTACAAGTCCATTTATATGAATAGACAAAACTACATTATGTTAATAGAAATCAACAGTCATTACCTATGGGTTTCACTGTCTCCCTAGGTGAGGAAACTTTCAGGCGTGTTGTAAATGTTCTATGTCTAATTTTGGTTGGTAGTTAGATGTGTGTATGTAATTGTCAAAGCACATCAAACAGCACTCAAGATTTTTTATTTTCTTGTATGTTAATTTTATCTCGGTAAAAATGCTACAAGAATTTTAACCATTTTTTTCTAGTTACAGTGCTGATTCATAGATCCTACAACAGACCTATTGAAACTGGAATTCCAGGTTTGAGGCCCTAGAATGTGCAATATTAACCAGCATACTGGGCAACTCTAATACACATTAAAATCTTAAACCCTTATCTGTAATATTCAACTTTATGTATTTTTACTACTGTATTTGCAAATTTTATTACTTCACTGTGGGCACGTAACTGATTTATAAACCTTTAAATAATGGTGTATGCTTAGAGAATCTTTTTATCTCTTATTGATTCTAACATTTTTCTTGTCCTCTGGATTTAAAAAATTTTATTATGGTATACCTTGGTGAGATGTGCTTCATGCTTTTTGTGCTAGTTAGGATTCACTGAGCTGTGGGTTTATAATTTTCAAGTTTGGAAAATTTCTAGCCATTATATCTCTAAATATATTTCTGTTTGTTCCATCTCATCTATTCCGATGACTTGAGCTGCACATATATTAGGCAATTTGAAGTTGTCTTGCTGTTCATTGACACTCTGCTAATTTTATTAGTCTTTCATGTTTTCTGTGATTTATTTTACATAGCTTTCTTATTGCTTTCTTCAAGTGTACAAATCCTTTCTATGTGGAAAATCTAGTCTGCCATTTATCCCATCCAGCGAATTTTATCTCAGGCATTCATTCTTACCTTCATCTCTGGACGTTAGATCTGAATCATTTTATACAACTCCCAATTCTCTACCTAATATGCTTTAATGTTTTGTCTGGCTTCTTAAACATAATAAAAACTGTTATAATAATTATTGTTATGTCATGTTTATTAATCAATGTACTTCTGTATCTGTTTTGACTAATTGATTTTCCCTCAATATTAATTTGTATTTTTCTGTTACTTTGCATGCTTGGTAAATTTGAATTGCTTATAATACATTGTGAATTTTAAATTGTGGATGCTAAATATTTTGTTAACCTATAAATTTTTGGATATTTGTTATTGGTCATGTTTTCATTACTTAGAAATAGTTTGATATTGGCCGGGCGTGGTGGCTCACGCCTGTAATCCCAGCACTTTGGGAGGCCGAGGCGGGCGGATCACGAGGTCAGGAGACCGAGACCATCCTGGCTAACACGGTGAAACCCCGTCTCTACTAAAAACATAAAAAAATTAGCCAGGCGTGGTGGCAGGCACCTGCTGTGCCAGCCACGCGGGAGGCTGAGGCAGGAGAATGGCATGAACTCAGGAGGCAGAGCTTGCAGTGAGCAGAGATGCACCACTGCACTCCAGCCTGGGCTACAGAGCAAGACTCCGTCTCAAAACAACAACAACAACAACAACAAAAACAAAAACAAAAAAACCCAGAAATAGTTTGTTTGATATTTTCGGTTTTGCTGTTAAGCTTTGTTAGAAGATACTGAAACATAGTTTATTCTAGGACTAAATTTTTCAACTACTTATGCAAAATGCTACTTAGTACTTTAATGGTGCCCCATCAATTATACAGTTCACTGCTTTGATTGTTGGAAACAGGCACTCTTCTTAGCTCAGTGTGAGGTCTTGGTATTGTTCCCTCTAACTCCTTTGGGTAATTCTCTCCCTAAACTGGTAATTTCCTCACATACTTGTGCTGATCAGTACTCAGTTGAATATTAGAGATTTCTGAAGTTCTGTTTGCACAAATACTTTGTAATATAAATGCTAGCTGCTTTTTCATCCCTAGAGTGGCAGCTGCTTCTGAATACAAGGAAATTGCAGGGTTTAACCTGAGTTAATACTCTCAATCAGTCATACAGCCCAGAAATCTACATCTTGGACTGCAATGATTCATGTATTTGACTTTTTGATATTTTTCTATTAGTCCCTGATGTTCTGTTCCTTTTTTGGTTTTGTTTTCTATCTTCCAGATTGATTAATCACTAATGATTTATCTTCAAATTCATCCACTCTCTCTATCATCTCTATTCTGCTACTGAGCACATCCTGTACATTTTTTAAATTTCAGAAAAGTATTTTCAGCGCTAAATTTTTCAGTTGTTTCATAGCATATACGTGTGTGTGTATAAACACATACATATGTATATTTGTCAGATTCACCTTCCGTCACTCTCAAGTGTGTTTACTTTTCACCTTATAGAGAATGGTTATAAATTAGCTGATTTAAAGTATTTTTCTGATAATTCCATTATTTAAAAATCTCTTTCTTTAATGAAAAAAATGCACATTCCTTGTTACTCCTTGCATTTTTCTTTTGGCTGTTTCTAAAAGGACATAGAATCTAATATAATGCAGAATTTAAGCCAAATATATCTGAAAGAAATGGGCATGAAGAGGGTTTTTTTTTTATTTTTTTAATTTCCACTTTTAGATTCTGGGGGAGCATGTGCAGGTCTGTTACATGGGTATGTTGCATGATGTTGAGGTTAGGGGTGTGAATTGTCCTGTCACCCAGATAGTGAGCCTAGTACCCAATAGGTAGTTTTTCCCCCTTTGCCGTTTGCTCTTCCTTCCCACTCTAGTATTCTTGTCTATTGTTTCCATCTCTTTGCCTACCTATACCCAACGTTTAGCTCCCACTTGTAAGTGAGAACATGCAGTATTTGATTTTCTTTTTCTGTATGATTTGCTTAGGATAATGGCCTCCAGCTGCATCCATGTTTCTGCAAAGAACATGATTTCATTCTCTTTTATGGCTCCATAGTATTCCATGGTGATTACATACCATATTTTCTTTATCCAGTCCACCATTAATAGGCACCTAAGTTGATTCCATGTCTTTGTTATTGTGAATAGTGCTGCAGTGAACATGTAAGTACATGTTTCTTTTTGGTAGAATAATTTATTTACCTTTGGGTATATACCCAGTAATAGGATTACTGGGTTGAATGGTAGTTCTATTTTAATTCTTTGAGAAATCTCCAAACTGCTTTCCATAGTAACTGAACTAATTTACATACCCACAGTGTTTAAGTGTTCCCTTTTCTCCACAGCCTCTCCAGCATCTGCTGTTTTTTGACTTTTCAGTAATAGCAGTTCTGACTGGTGTGAGATTGTACCTCATTGTGGTTTAAATTTGCATTTTTTTGATGTTTAGTGATGTTGAACATTTTTTTATGTTTGTTGGCCACTTGTATGTTATTTGGATATCTTGTAGATATCATCTTTTGAGAGTATTCTCCTGTGAAAATGTGTCACATTTCTTTCCATGTGAAATTAATTTTAGATTATACCCTGAACATTTAAATATCATGATGTGTAGATTCCGGGTCCTGTTGTACTCCTCTGGAGGGAGAAAGTTGCTTTAATTTTTAGCAGGCAATTCAAATATTTAGGCATAAACTACAAATTCTGTCTCATCTTCCAAGGGTAGTGGTACCAATCTCAGTTTAATTTTTGAAGTCTCTACTATGCGAGTTTTGTCATTCCTGTGCATGCATGATGCAAGAGTGACCTCTAGACTTATTGAATTAGTGGTATCCATTTTTCAGATTTTTACTTCCTACATTTTCTCCCACATTCTTCAGTTTATATGGAACTATTTTCCAATAATTCCAAGTTCTTCAGTACAGAAAGGTGAGAATTCTATTAGCGATTTAGCCATTTATGTTTCTTCTCTGTTTTATGGTTCTGTAATTGGGTTACCCCTGGGATAAACGTGAAAGAGAAAAGAACAAAATGATAATATCATCCCCCATGCAGGACACATCTTCAAGATTTGACTCTGATCTAAAACATTACCTTTATATACCTTTAAGAGTCCTCACATAGATTCTTTTTGTATTGTGTTAAGAATTGTCTGTTGTACTGAGCAGAAGAGATTTGCTGTGGTAGCCTTATACTGCCATAGTGATACTAGAACCCAAAGCTATGCCATTTTAACACCTCAGCCCACTACTTTGACTCAGGAATGAAACTTCAGAAACCAACTCCAGAAAAAACTCTATGTAAGTGCATAATTTTTCGTATGTTGATAAATGTACTTCAAAAAATTCATATGACATTTCTTTATCAGTTAACCTCTATTACATTTCTTTAGCTTTACCATGAAATCATTTTATGAAAGGCAGGGAATAGATTTATACAAGTTAATAACATTATTCAAGTACATAAATGCAAATGCATGATTAATTCTCAAATTTATCATAAGTGTTATAAATTCTATAACTTTATGCTCTGGGTGTTGGCTACTAGCTAACTTTCTTTTGTGTTATATTTGAGCAGAGCTCACTGTTAATATATTCAGGCTTTTAAAAAGAAGTTATGTATTTTTCTGTATTGGAGATACAATTAAGATTCTTCAAAGTAACAGGCAATATTTTGATAAATCCTAATATACTAAGTTACCAATGTTGACAAAATATCACTCTATAATTTTCTAGAAAGATATGCCATTCATTTGTCCAGTTAATCCAAAATTTCATTCTTGCTAGTTTAAGTATGATAATAATTTTGACAAGTGGTGTCCACAAATACTATATTATTACTTATAGCAGTGAATAAGTTATTCACATATTAACTCATAGGAAAATTTCTATAGTTGATTTTATATCTAAATATGACACAATGTAAAAAGGTTCTTTCCTAATCTGAAGTCATCATTTTATTTTTATTTTTGAGAGAATATTGAGATAACCTTTAAGATATGAATATACATTTTCTATGCATTAACTTTTTAAAAGTTTTGTTAAATATTATTCATAATATTTATGTATTTTAAATTTTAAATATATTTGTAATCTACTTGTAAATGACTTTTACAGCACGACTATTTCCATGGACTATTTTTACAGCTGACACTTCCGAAGATTCAAATACGGTGTTGAATTAATAGTTTATACTGTATTGATCAATGATTGCTTACCTGTTATTCATCAGTCTATGCATTGAATAAATATTTGTTGACCACCAATATATGTCAGCACGTGTATACTGTGTTAAGACACAGAGAATTATCACAGTTTTGGCAGTAAGTGGAATGACTTATATAAGCAGTTCAAAGTTTACCTTCTTTACAATAAATTACTTTATCTCCCAGGGCAATCTTACCATCAGCAGCCCAAATTTGTATACTTAATATGTGACTTATATTTTGATGACCTAACATACAATAGACAGGGGTCTGTAGGTTTATTCAGAATAATAATTTTTTAAATAATAAAAATAAAAATAATAAAAATCCATTAATGAAATCTTTTCATATTTATATTGATTGCATTATTTTAAAGTTAAAGTGAAGAGAAAGTAAATAAGAGGACATAAATTTTTATTGAGACCATTCACTGTGCCAGTTACTGGGCTATACTGTTTACAAATGATTGAATCTTACAAAACATCCTCAGGACAGAATTTAACTGAATTTTCAGAATTTTACAAAACACCCTCAGAATAGAAATTGTTTACCAATTTTAGAGGTAGAAAATTGTCAGGAGACTATTCTCCATGGGTATGTCATGGTACTGTTGATATGACTTGGATCTGTGTCCTGACTCAAATCTCATCAAATTGTAATCCCCATGTGTTGAGAGAGGAACCTGGTGGGAGGTGATTGGATCAAGGGGGCATTTTCCCCCATGCTGTTCTTGTGATAGTGAGTTCTCGTGAGATCCAATGGTCTAAAAGTGTTTGGAAGTTCCCCCTCTTGCTCTCTCTCTCTCTCTCTCTCTCTCTCTCTCTCTCTCTCCTGCTGCCATGTAAGGTATGCCTTGCTTCCCCTTTGCTTTCCACCATAATTGTGAGATTCCTGAGGCCTCCACAGCCATGTGGAACTGTGATTCAATTAAACCTCTTTCCTTTATAAACTACCCAGTCTCAGGTAGTTCTTTATAGCAGTGTGAAAACAGACTAATACAGAAAGTTGGTACTGAGGGAAGTGGGGCATTGATATAAAGTTACCTGAAAATGTGAAACAGACTTTTTAACTGGGTAACAGGCAGAGGCTGGGGCAGTTTGGATGGCTCAGAAGAAAACAGGAAGATTTGGGAAAGTTTAGAACTTCCTAGACTCTAGCTGAATGGTTTTGACTAACATGCGATAGTGGTATGGACAATTAAGTCCAGGCTGAGATTATCTCAGATGGAGATGAGGAATTTACTGGGAACTGGAGTAAATGTCTCTCATGCTGTGCTTTAGCAAAGAGACTAGCGGCATCTTGTCTCTGCCCTAGAGATCTGTGGAACTTTGAATTTGAGAGAGATGATTTAGGGTATCTGGCAGAAGAAACTTCTAAGCAGCAAGGCATTCCAGACGTGACCTGGCTTTTTATAAACGCTTACAGTCATATGCACTCACAATGAGATGGTCTGAAATTGGAACTTATCTTTAAAAGGGAAGCAAAGCATAACATTTTGGAAAATTTGCAGCCTGTCCATGTGGTATAAAAGGAAAAGCCATTTTCTGGGGAAAAAATTCAAGACACCAATGCAGAAATTAGCATAAGAAAAGAGGAGTCTAATGTTAATAGCCAAGACAATGGGAAAAATGTCTCCAGGGCATTTTAGAGGTCTTCATTGCAGCCCCCCAACCCTCCCCACCCCATCACAGGCCCAGAAAACTAGGAGGGAAAAAATGGTTTCTTGGGCTGCATTCAGGACCACACTGCTCTGTGTAGTCTTGGGAAATGGTGCCCTGCATCCCAGTAGCTTCAGCTCCAGCTGTGGCTAAAAGGGGCCAAGGTACAGTTTGGGCCATTACTTCAGAGAGTACAATCCCTGAACCTTGGTGGCTTACACATGGTGTTAAACCTGTGGGTACAAAGAAGACCAGAATTGAGGTTTGGGAACCTCCACCTAGATTTCAGAGAAATCTAGGGCCATCATCCTCCAGACCCCAGAATGGTAGATCTACCAATAGCTTGCTCTATGCACCTTGAAAAGCTGCAGGTACTCAACACCGGCCTGTGAAAGGAGCCTCAGGGGCTGCACCCTATGGAGCTACAGGGGTGGAGCTGTCCAAGGCTATGGGAGCACACCCCTTGCATCCTTGTGCCTTTGATGTGAGACATGAAGTCAAAAGAGATTATTTTGGAGCTTTAAGATTTAAAGACTGTCCTGCAGGATTTCAGACTTACATGGAGCCTGTAGCCCCTTTGTTTTAGCCAATTTCTCCCTTTTGGAATGGGAGCATTTACACAATGCCTGTACCCCACATTGTGTCTTGGAAGTAACCAACTTATTTTCATTTTACAGACTCATAGGCAGAAGGAACTTGTCTTGTTTCAGATGAGACTTTGGACTTGGACTTTTGAGTTAATGCTGGAATGAGTTAAGACTTTGAGGTATTGTTGGAAAGACATGATTGTGTTTTGAAATATGAGAGGGACATGAGATTTGGGAGGGGCCAGGGTGGAATGATATGGTTTGGCTCTGTATCCTCACCCAAATCTCATCTCAAATTGTAATTTTCATGTGTTGGGGAAGGATCTTGTGGGAGGTGATTGGATTATGGGCGAGGTCTCCCTCATGCTGCTCTTGTGATAGTAAATGAGTTCTCACAAGATCTGATGCTTTTAAAGTATTTGGCAGTCCACCTCACTTTCTCTGTCTCCTGGCGACATACAATGTGCCTTGCTTCCTCTTCACCTTCTGCCATGATTGTGAGTTTCATGAGGTCTCTCCAGCCATGTGGAACTGTGAGTCAATTAAACCTCTTTTCTTTATAAACTACCCAGTCTCAGGTAGTTATTTATAGCAGCGTGAAAGCAGACTAATACAACTGCACATCCTGTGAGAAAGGCACCATCTGTCCTTTGCTCCAAAATATTTTTTCAAGGATTTTTGTATAGAAAAAAATTTTGAAATGTAGATATAATACATTCCTACGGAAAACAGTGACGAAATTATTTTTCTCCAGTTTAATTAAAAAATAAAAATGTTTTCCTTTAGTGCAAAGTCAGGCATGTTTACTCACTGTCATAAAAGATTTGGGAAGTTCAGTGTGTCTCAGCTGTAATTCCAAACCATTGCATGCATAGCATGCATCTGATCCATATCACATTAAACCAATGGACCTTGCAGGCAAAGGAAACTGACACTCATATTTATGCTGCTTGCTGTGCTATGAATAATAAGAGCCTTTGTATCTGATCCTGGAGTTTTGTGACTTCTGTCCACCACTATGAAACTGTGGTAGGCTAAATTGTTAGCTTGCAAGAAGAGTAAAATATCTGACCCTCATAATTCTTGGCGAAAGTTTGGAAATTTGGAGTGTAAGTAACTTGTCATGTCTGAATACAAGGTACACATTCAGTACAAGTACAAAATACTGCCATGTATCATAAATTACATAAACATTATTTTTTATATAGTCTTGTATTACAGTTTTTTTCAGTAACAGAAGATGAGGATTACACTTGATTCATTTATTTACATTCTGAAACTTTAGTGAAATAACTTGTGGACAGTAGGGTTTTAATATATGTCTTTCAAACATAATTGGATTTTATTAGTGTGTAAAACAACTGTTACATTTTTTCAGTGCAATAAAAAGAATTATACCATAACCAGGGATGGCTTTTGGAAAATCTAAGAAACCAATGTTTATTTTTGCCATTGAGCAAAGTCTGCAGACGTTCAAGGCTATTTAGAATAGAATTTTGTCAGTTTTTTGTACAATCCTCACAAACTGCAAGACAGAGAAGAGGCAAGAGTGACAATGTGGATCAAAATTTTTCTAGCAAATATCATTCCAGTGCTTCAGTGGAGCCCTGTGATCCCTTAGTTTATTTTTCTCCAACAGTCAGATGACAATTGTAAATACAATGTAAATACATAGACAGAGTCATTTACACATGTGGAAAAATTGACATCAGCATCAATATCCCAGGTATTTTATTTATAAGGTAATGGATTCTTCTGGCTGCTAAGAAAGAAAATAAAATATTTTCAACCATATTATAATTGGAACAAAAACTCAGTTTACTTTATTTTTTTATTTTAACTTTCTACTGATTCTGAAAAACAAAAATCTTTCAGACACTATTTGATTGTGTATTACTTAATCTTCCATTTAGAAGTTTACTGTTGGGTTTTTTTTTTTTTGAAAATAAGTAAACAAGCCACTATATTAGTGACAACTGCAAGTCTCCTGTCACATGACAATTTCATCCAAACCCCTCCACTAAGAGACTTAACCAAACTGTAGCATGGCTTCTAGTAGCATAATGTGTGCCTAGCATGACCCCAGGCCTGAATTAAAATGCCTACCTGGGAAAGCACAAGGCTGCTAGGAAAATTTTCTGTTTGTTCAAGCCAACCTGATGATAGGCCCTGAGTTCCTTATCTTAGAGCTGTAAGAGTTAAAGAAAGAGCAAATAAACACGAAATGCAGCTTAACAGGTAACGGCACATTTATTTTAGAAAAAAACCTGAGAGGGGCTTCTGGCCGATTTTGGTCAGGAGCACTTTTTCTTACAGGCTAAGAGTATATATTGGATTTAGGGTGAAGGGGCTTATCATAAGCTTGGAATGTTTCTGTGTGAGGAAGAAGTTTAATGATGGGGTTGGAAAGTCTCTGGGTGGAGGGGAGGTTATTTTGGGGCTGACATCTTTCCAGCCGGAGGGGGGTTATCTCGGGGCTAGCATGTCTCTGGTTGGGGAGAAGTTTGGAATGTTTCTGCTTGGAGATGTTATTTATGGTTTACGGCCAGCTGACTTTAGCCATAAGGCTGATGCCCTTTGGATTTAGGCGGTTTTTGATTAAGGTGAACTTTAGAATGAGGGGCTTGTCCAAGATGGTGATGTTCCTGCTCTGTCAAGAGCAATTTATTAAAAAGGATTTACAATTGCCAATATGTATCTCTTGAAATTCAGAAACATCTTTCTCAGGAAACTGAGAGCCATTCCTGGTTTTTTTTTTTTGTTTTTTTTTTTGTTTTTTTTTTTTGAGATGGAGTCTTGCTCTGTCGCCCAGGCTGGAGTGCAGTGGCACAATCTTGGCTCACTGCAAGCTCCGCCTCCCGGGTTCAAGCCATTCTCCTGCCTCAGCCTCCTGAGTAGCTGGGACTACAGGTGCCTGCCACCATGCCTGGCTAATTTTTTGTATTTTTAGTAGAGACGGGGTTTCACCATGTTAGCCAGGATGGTCTTGATCTCCTGACCTCGTGATCCACCTGCCTCAGCCTCCCAAAGTGCTGGGATTACAGGCGTGAGCCACTGTGCCCAGCCCGAGAGCCATTCCTTTACAGTGTAATTATCAAGAGAGGTAAGTCCTCTGTGCCCCAGTCTCTGTGGGAGAATGCATCCTCATTTCAATAACTGCCAGGAAGCTGACACAGCTGACGCAGCTGGTCTAATCACATTTACATGAATTAACCCTTTGTACGTTTTTACTTCTTTGACTCTACTGAACCCCCCACACTCTCTCCTCCCTCATTCTCCCTTGAAAATGTTCAGTTATCTTTGTATAAATGTGAATGGAGCACTGCTCTATCACATACTGTCAGTTACCTAAAATTTGTCTTCACTGCTTCAACTAATGGTAGGCTGTGGGTTATTTTTTGACACTAGCTAGGAATTGAGCAATATGCAGGTTAGAAAACTGAATTTTTTCCTTTTGAGTGTAAGTTAGAAATTGGGAATAATTGGGTGATAATTGTTAAAGGAGGTGAATGACATGTCACTTAGCCTGAAAAAATTTGTTTATAGCTGTAAGTTAATTCAATTCAAACTATGTTTTTAATAGTGAATGTCATATGTACAAATTTCAATGACTGAGGACTAGGCTTAAGGGTATGGTGCTTCTAAAATTTGCTCAAGATATCTTTAGAAAATGAACTAAAAACAAGGCACCTCACCCCAATGGGGAAAAATCAGTAATAATTAATTACATTATTTGTTAATTCACTAAATAAGTGAAGGTTTATGAATATTAGCCCCAGGTGGCAAAGGCTTTATATTTTGTTAAGACAGAAATCAGATTGAGTGTTACAGTTATTCAAGTCATAAAAGAGAATATTATCAAGGGGGTTATCAGTTTTGTAGTAATGATACATAGGTATTATATAAAGACATCTCAACCTGTTTCTTGTAATGCAGTCAAGTATTCTGGTACTAGCATATACAATAACAGAAAGGTTAATATTTTGATATTTATGAGAAAAATGTTAAGGGGGAAAGTGAGGGTTCTTAGGAGGCAGCATACCTAGTACTTAAGAGCCAACCTGCTTGATAGAATTGATAGCTCCACCACTTATTATCTTAGATATCTTGTGGAGTTATTTAACTTTCGTTAGTCATACTTTTCTTTTGTACAACTTGAATAAGCAGGGTAAGTATCTCAGATTGTTGCTAGGAGGTGTGAAAGGAAAATATCTTGGGCCCCTACAATTACAATCACGAAGCTAAAGGGAAAATTCAAGTTGGGAACTGCTTAGGGCAGCCTGCCTCCCATTCTATTCTAATAAGTAGGGTAAGTATCTCAGATTGTTGCTAGGAGGTGTGAAAGGAAAATATCTTGGGCCCCCACAATCACAATCAGGAAGCTAAAGGGAAAATTCAAGCTGGGAACTGCTTAGGGCAACCTGCCTCCATTCTATTCAAATTTATCTCTATGCTCACTGAGATAAATGCATATCTGATTGCCTACTTTGGAAAGGCTAATCAGATACTCAAAAGAATGCAACCTTTGTCTCTCACCTGTCTGTGACCTGGAAGCCCCCTCCCTGCTTTGAGTCTTCCTGCCTTTGCTTCGAGTTGTCCTGCCTTTCCAGACTGAACCAATGTACTCCTTATATATATTGATTGATGTCTCATGTCTCCCTAAAATGTGTAAAATCAAGCTGTGCCTCAACCACCTTGGTCATATGTCATCAGAACTTCCTGAGGCTGTGTTACCTGTGTGCTTCCTCAACCTTGGCAAAATAAACTTCCTTAATTGACTGCGACCTGTCTCAAATGTTTGGCGTCCACAGAGGTTTTAAGTAAAATAGTCTACAGAAAGGTTCAGAAGTCTATGAGACTTAGCGAGTAGTAGCTATTATTTTTATACATTCAAAGCCAAAGAAGGAGGAGAAAGGAGGAAAAGGAAGGGACAGGCAAGATGTTGTAATCTTTAAGAAATGATAAAAAGAAAGAAAACCCCAAATTTCCTTTTCCTTTTTATCTCTTCATGAAAATTCTTTGGCAGATTTTCACCATTTATCTTTGGAGAATTCTAAAAATTACAGAGTTACAAAGGGATTAAGTGAGAGAGTTGTCCTGATTTTTAAAGAGGATAAAATATTGGATCGAAGAAACTACAGTACACTTAGCACTAATGCCTAGGAAATATCTGAAATTGAGTATTCAATACATCAGTTTAAAGATCTAAAAAAAAAATACCCTAAACAATGAAATGACTTACTCATTTCATTTTTTTTCATCAAACATCAATAAAACTGACATGTTTGGAATAGCATGTCCAATGCTGCAGTACTTTTCTATAGGTACTGATCCTTTCATCTTTTACATGTTTATCACATAAGCTGCCTTGTAACCATGTTATACAAATGTTAGATTTTTTTTGACCACTGTTTTATTCAACAATAAACAAATGAGCCAATCTGACAAAATGAACCTCCTTTTAACTGGGAATTAGGGGCTTGAGAGCAAAATAGTCTTTTCTCAGGTAGGTAAAGCTGTATGATGTGAAGCTGTGTGGATGAAAGCAGCAATGTTTTCCAAAGTGCACCAAAAAAATGATTTTAGAGAGAACATAATGAAGCCACACGCAGAGAGAAGTGTAGAGCAAATAGAAAGAGCTTGATCTTATTTAAGTCTCTGGATTTTCTGAAGCCAAGCCACATTTCTGTTCAAAATAAATATAAGTTGTTACTGTGTTCATCAAGGTAGTCTAAATATGTTTCCTTACAGATTATTAAATAAGTATATAAAGGAAAGTGTGTAGTGAGGCCTAAAAACTTTATGTACAATGTGAGAAAATGTGGATTGGATATCAGGACAGATAAGTGATTGTTTAGATAAATGAATAATGCAGCACTGTCAAACTACAGAGAGGAGCTTTAAAGGTAATCTGCAGGGTTTATCACTTTGTTACTTCCTGCCTAGAATTTTATCAATAATTTAGATGAATATATAAAAGATACATTTAATAAAAATGTAAGCCAATGGACAATTTTTTAAGACCCAAAGTTAGTAAAATGTTAAGTTTAATTTATGCCATGACATATTAGGAACGAGGCTATAGACATGACATATATCATAAAATATCTGAAAGATTTGTGAAAGAGATACTTGATATTATCAATAGATAAAGAGCACAAAATCAGGACAAATTGATATATGTTATGAGGAGAAAGTTTTCATTTCAGTACAAGGAAAATTTACTAACAGTAAAAATCAAAAGTTAACACTGAACAGCTTAGTTAAATTTCCATTATTAAAGTGTTAAAACCAAGCCTTTGCTTTTATTTAAGACCACAACATAGATGAGTTTTATATTAGGTAAAATGTTGGGTTGAAAACATCTTCAAAGACTTTCAAATCTGAAATTTGATAGAAAATCAGTAATCCTAGATTAATTCCTAAAAGTTAAAATTCCTTTATATTTTATTTAAATTTTATTCTGTCTTGCTTATAGACTAGGAGTTAGAATATCTGGAGATGGGAAGGGATGCAGCTGGAGAGTGAATGGTGTCCTTTGGGGCTGAGTCTTGAAATGGGGAAGAAATTACCCAAAACAACAAGATGGTTGATCCTGATAACAAATAAGTGAACAAAAAAAAAATGCTCACAGATGCTGTTGAGGTGGGAGAATAGGGCCTGGAGGCAAGGAACCTAAGGACTTCCTAGAACTAAATCAAATGAAAACACTTCAGCTATGATAGGAAATATCCTCTCTATTTACATAGGGCATACAATGAGTAAATGAATTTGTAACTTTACTTCATCCTCTTCATTAACACAGGGCGTATACCAAGTAACCAATGGAAACCTCTAGAGGGTATTTAAACCCCAGAAAATTCTGTAACAGTGCTCGAGCCCACTCCCACCCTGTGGAGCATACTTTCATTTTCAAGAAATCTCTGCTTTTGTTGCTTCATTCTTTCCTTGTTTTGTTTGTGTGTTTTGTCCAATTTTTTGTTCAAGACATCAAGAATCTGGACACTCTCCACTGGTAACACTGTCATATAAGAATCCAGCTATTACAAAATCCAGGTAACAATATATGGGCATCAAAACTGGGCTTCTAGAAGAGGAGTTTGTGTTCAGCAAGTTAAATGTAAGAACAAGGGGAATAATAGGGCATGGTGTTGGTGGTGGAGGAGTTAAATGGTAGCATAGCTAAAAGGATCAGAACAGACATAGTCATTTCTATTTTTCCCCAAAATCTGAGCTGTGTTACATGTGAGCTTATATGTCTTAGAAGGCTAGAGATAAAACAGATACCCTCTGTAAAAGTTAAAGAAAGAGGAAAGAAACAGAAAACACAGCTTGATAGTTAAAGACAGGTTTACTTTAGATAAAACCCAAGGGGGGCTTCTGGCCAATTTCTGTCAGGGGCACTTTCTCTTACAGACTAAGAGTATATATTGGTTTTAGGGTAAAGGAGCCTATTACAAGCTTGGGATGTTTCTGTGTGGGGCAGAAGTTTATGGCAGGGTTGAAATGTCTCTGGGCAGAGGGGAGGTTATCTTGGGGCTGGCGTCTTCCCAGCTGGAGGGGGTTTATCTTGGGGCTAGCATGTCTCTGCCTGGGGAGGAGTTTGGGATGTTTCTGGTCGGAGATATTATTTGTGGTTTATGGTCATGCTGACCTTAGCCATTAAGGCTGATGCCCTTTGGATTTAGATAGGTTTTCTTTTTTTATTAAGGTGAACTTTAGAATGAGGAGCTTGTCCAAGATGGTGATGCTCCTGCTCTTTCACCCTCTAGTAAAGTGTTTCTCAACCAGAAATTGGTACTTTGAATAGAACAAGTTTCCACTGTACACGACTGACCCATACATCATGCCGTATTTAGTATTCTACATACAGTGAATAGTGGTGGCATTCTAGAGTAATGGCAAAAAGCATCTCAAATTTAAGGATATTTGGTGGGGACTTAAGAAAAGTAATTTAATCTTAAAAAATCACATTTGCCTAGCATTTTACATTTTGAAGCACTTTAGAGGGATTTTTCTTATTAAGTGACACATAACCGTTTTGTTAGAGGTAGAACAAATATTATTGTTCTTTTTTCACAAAAATGACCTAGTTAAGTTCTGACAGCTAGTTAGTGACAGAACAAGGACTTAATCAAAGTTATTTCATCCCCATTATTTTGTTTTTTTGTTCAGAAAATGTCCTTCTAGTCTAAACATATACATAAGGAAGAGAGTAAATTGCCACAAAAACATAACATTACAAAAACTATGAAGCAATTTTAGAATTCCTGAGTGGGAGTAGAAAGGAAATTACAATGTAGTAAATTTCATTGTATTCTGCCTTTATGAGATTTTGGAATGTTTCCAAAATCTATATTATTCTGGCAACATCCTTAACAACTTGGAATCAATGGTAAATTATGTAAATATGATTGAATCATCAGTAAATTGCAACTTGATCAGATATAGCTGTGTGGTAATACGAGTATAACTGTTAACTACCCTGACTATATTTTATTATATACCCAAGAGCCAAGATTCTCACATATGTTGCATTTTTTCAATCATTTTGTTAGAGGATTGATGTTAAATCATACCTCTTCCCTTTTTTTTTCTTTTTTTTAAAGGAAGTCTACCTATGTGGCATAATGAGACCTACTCACTCATTCAGCTCAATGTTCTACTGACATCTGAATAATAGTATGCCTTCTCTGTTACATTTATTAACTAAAATTGGGAGCTATATCTGAAAATTATTTTTGTATGCAGTGCTCACACACCATCTGACACTGAGTTATTGACTTCAAAATAATGGATTTGGGGGGCAAGAGTAGAGGAAGTATTTGTGAACTGACTTAATGCTACTTGGTCATGTATAGGTTCCTTCTGGTAGTTAAAATTAGCCACTAAATATTTCAATTGGAAGGGATTATTACATTAACAAATCTTAGATCAGACTTTTACAAACATGGCAACTACAAACAGGGGCATTTATTAACAAACTATTTTTAGTTATATAAAAGAAACAATTCCCACAATCTGTTTTTTACTTGGAAAATTTTCAATTACACTGGATTTTAAGTACTCTTACTATTATTTGTTGTAAGAGGTTATTTTGAGACAAATGCCAAGATTTTTTAGAATGAATTCTATTAACCATATCGATATCAACCAACTATGGCAACAGTTCACAGCTGGCCATAGAAATAGCAACTTAGGCTACAGTGTCATTCCTAAGGATGTAATACTTAGGGATTTTTATGTCTTGTTCCATGCAAAAGTAAGGCATGTCTTAAAATATTTTAGCTGAACATCTTATCATGAATAACTTTAATTTCACAAATAAGATAACATTTATTATGCTACTATCACATATTACCATTTATTATTGTACATCAAAAAATTTATATTTGACATCCATCATGCTAATGAGCAAAGCATCATTACTGATTGAGATGTATGGAGACATCAATATCAGAAGGCATGCTTATAGTCATTTCCAGTGTATGTTTCTTTTTCATGTAATGTTTGTGGAGCATTGCTCAACTGGACATACTTGGTTAATATATTAGCTGAGCACTCTGAATTGTGCTTTCTTAATGTTGGCTTTACCAAAACAATATATACACAAAGTATCACACTTTATGTACCAATATATTTTTTTAACCTTACAGGGTTTGTAACAAGTGTCAAAACTATTTTAAATTGAAGGCCGTTCCACTTGTGCTACATTTCAGAAGATATTTAGAGAACATATCTCCCCACAGAAGCCCAGAAAGGTTGAATTTTTTTATATAATAGCAACAGTTATTCATAGAAAAGTAAAGAAGCAGAATCTGGGACTGCACAAATTTATACAAAAGCAAATAAGAAAATAAGTATCTATAGAAATATGAATACAATTGATAAAATATATTGCTGCATACCTAGATAATAAACACTCTTACAATTTTTATATCAGAGCTTATGAAAGAACCTGTAACTATGTGGACCAGTATGAAAAATAGATAAAAATAGTTATACAGAAGCAAATGTGAAGGAACACAAAGTTTACTGAACAAGATAGCATAGAATAGAGGACAGTCACTAATCAAAACAACCTAAAATGTTCACTAATATCAAATGAGGAGAGATTTATATCTAATATCAGAATCTCACAATGGTAATCTATATATTATTTGACTCTATGTGTGTAATTATATATATATATTTAATATGTATATAAGAACATGTATGCAGACAACTATAATTTAGTAAACTTGAAAATCCATTTCATAGGTAATTTAATTATTATTCTAATTTTAGTATTTATAAATACTAGTATGTGTAAATGCCATTTTCCTCATCAATCCTATTCTTAATGACTCTCCAGTTATTTGTATGTTGCTACCTTCATTTCCTAAAACCAATGACAAAAGAAGTTTTGAGAATCAATAGCCCTTCTTCTAAATATCAATGGTGATGATGTTATCTTTCCATAGGTCGATGAGGATGTTGATGATAAGCACTTCTCTGATGATATTGAGTATCCCTCTACATATTCCATAAAAATGCCAGGTAAACTAGTTGGCCTCCTTCTACATGATTTTCTCGGACAGGCAGAATCTCCTTGGTACCCCCACCATCAACTTGAGTATAGGTGCCAAGTACCCTGACAAGCTGGTTGGTACCAGCTTCTCATCTCTTTCCCATCATCTGTAATTTCCTCTTTCCATTACTGTCAGGTGGATTCCCTTAAGTGTCCAGGGTTACAACTGTCATTCCCATTCATCATAAACCTGAACATAAGAAGCTAAGCATATTAATTTGATCCTTATGTATGCTATTTTATTTCTCTTCCTTCTGACCCACCCCCCTCATTATTTTGCTGAAGCTTCTTAATAACCCCAGCCATGCTAGACCTTCTCTCTAATCTTTCCTTATATGCTGTATAATGATGGTGTCATATCTTAAAAGCTGCTAGGAAGAAACATGAATAGGCTTTAAGTAGTGATATCTGAACTTAGTAAACCACAATAACATTAGTAGCCACCAATTTTTTCCCTGAAGGCATAAAATAGAAAAGCAAGTTTCATTAAATAAAATTTGAGCAAGTGACACTTTGAAGATAACTGAGGTTAATTAGATCTATTTATTTGGTGATACTGAGCAGCTTATAAAGGAAATCAGAAATGCATTAGCAAGTCAATAGACATTATGATTATTTTAGAGATTTAAAGATCAGAGTCTTGGCCAGTTTTAAGGTCTTAATATATCAGCTGTACATTATGTGTTTTGCATTATATTCTTTCCTTACTTTGCTCTATTTTAAATTGATTTTCTATTAAAGAAAATTATCTCATAGATAATTAAAGGAAGTAATAGCAAAACCCATAACTCACCAAATAAAAGTGACACATGAAAATATTAGCATCATGAATTGATTTAAGGGAATAAAAAATTAACAATGCAGTTGAAGTCACTTAATTATCTTTCTTCAAGCCACTCCCATCCTTCTTATACTACCAGAGAAAACCATCACCACACAATTGGTATAAATTTTTTACATCGACCTTTTTATACTTTAATCATATACGCGTATGACCCACATGAATTTCTGTAAGATTGAACAGAACCAAATCAAAAATAGCCCTTTGTATTTAACCTCTAGAAATTGACTAAAACCAGAAGTTAATATGGACTATTTTTTTGTGGATTGTACATCTTATATAAATTATCAAGCAATTCTTTTTAATGTTTTTAGGCTATCCACACTGATACATACAGATTTATGTTTACATCTTGATTTTACCATATTTTATAAATGTACTTACATTTTTCATTCATGTTGATGTTAACTTAGAATATTTCCCAATTTTTGCTATTACAAATGATGCTACAGTGAAGATTCCTATTCATCTCTCTTTATACATTAATAAATAATTATTTTTATAATATACAATCAGAAATGCTAATGCCAAGTTATAATCCAAAATGGATGCAACACATTTATAGTCCTATTAAAAGAATATAAAAGTCTCTGCCTCCCCCATATCCTTGCCCACAACCGGTATTGCCAAATTTTTTACTTTGGATTACATTTCCCTAATTACTTGTAAGGAAGTGGGGACTCAATTCCTCCTCTTCACTTTTTGAAAAAGGTTGTAAATGAGTCATGTTCTCTTAGGACTCCTTGTTTGTAGCTATAATTTTTGAGAGTATGATAAGTCTTGAATGTGTAGGAGAAGAATTTAGTGGAATAACTTTTCCAAATGGTAGAAGAAAGAAAGCTTCCAAGCAGATTGATATGTTGTTTGATTAAAGGCCCTGATTAATGAGACTGATGATTTTTGAGGGGTAGACATATGAACATAGGAGTCACTCCTTTCTAAAATGGTAGAGTAACTTCTACTTATCAAATTAATGCAGAAGAATTTCTTTAAATTTGAGAGAATCTCAAAGAGAGCAGAGTTCTATAAGTTTGAACTTCAAATATCCAAAATAATAATGTCTTTTTTCCTAAAAACATAACTAAAAAGCAGTATTTAATTCATTCATAAGTTTTGTGCGGTAATAGTTAGCAGATACAAGTTTATAAGAATTTAGGCCATTAGTATAGACCTTATCAGGAATAAAAATTATCATCATAACTTACGCATCCAGTGTCTGTAAAATTTCAGGTAGTTTATTCATTTATTCCTCACAGCAACACTAGGAGTTAGGTCCTATTATTATCTCTGATTTTATAGATGAAGAAATTGAGACAGTTTTCCTGTCTAGGTAACAGAGTTAGTTTGTAACACAGCTGGAATTTAAGCCCAAGCAGTTAGATTGCAAAGTTCTTGTTCCTAAACCCCTTGCTGTACTGTCAGCCCCTTCAAGGAGCTTCATTCATGATATCTTTGTTTCTTATGCTGATTCTTTTTCAAGATAGTTTGATACGTTCATGGAGAATATATTCAGGCATTTTTAAGTCTATCATGTTGGCAAAGGTGATATTAATGACACAAAAATCTAATATTGATTCCAAAAGGATATCAAATAGAATGGATAGAGAGATATGGTGCATACACAATTCAATACAAATCAGCCTTTTTTAAAAAAGAAAATACTGCAGTGTGCAAAAACATGGATATACCTTGAGGATAATAAGCTAAGTTTAATAAGCCAGTCACAGAAATAAAAATATGGAATGATTCAATTTGTATGAGGTTTCTAAAATATTCAAAGCAAAGAGTGAAATGTTGCCAAGGACTGGGGGAAGGGGGAAATGGGAAGGTACGTAATTATGAACAGGCAAAAAGTGTTAGTTAAGCAAGATTTATAAGCTCTAGAGATCTGGTATACAAGATTGTACCTAGAGTTGATACTAATGCATTATACACTTCAAAAATTGCTAAGACGCTGGATCTAATGTTAAATATTCTAACCACAGTCACATCAAATAAAAAAGGTTAGCATAAAAGAGACCTACTGAGGAAATGAACAGCATAGCCTAGTGGGGAGAAAAGGGAAAATTCCAGTTATTGAAATTACATATTCTTTTTTTTGTAAACACTGAAATCATTTAATTTGTGGGATAAGGTGGAAGGTGCTTAATCACACTCTAAAATTTTATGTATGGCTGAAATGTTTTCCCCATTCTCATCACTGTTGTCAAGAAAAATTTATAAAATTGTTTCATAATTCCCAAAATTTTATTATGCACACTTTCAAACTGAAATTGTTACCTTTGAAATCTCTATTAAAATATGACACAATTCCTCTGAGGAAACTCTTATGGATCTGGAATATAATTAAATTTGTATGCTCCTAACTGGATTCAATTCATTAAACTTATACTTTTTTCAGTACCCCCAACTCATGCAATGCTATTTAGGCGAAGCGAATTTTTATCCTACTGGCTAACACATTAAGGATACTACACATACTTCTGTATGCAAGTTCACAAAAACAAAAAAAGGATGCTGTGTTTAACAGTTCAAAATTAGTCTCTCAACATACACACAAAAGTAGATAATCTCTTCTGTATTGTCTCCTAATATACAATTCTGTCTATACAACTTTCCTTTCATTTTCCAGCCCTCTTTTTATTACACACACACACACACACACACACACACACACACACACAAAACATCCGCACTATCTCTCTGCGGTCATTCTTCTGACAAATTCATCAAAACTCTAGTAAAGTTTTGTTTCTAATATCAGTGTCTGGGAAAACTAGGTTAGCATTACCTTTTTGAGGAATTAATGGTGAGATGTTTTATTTTTTCAGTCAATCAGTAGGCACTTAATGAGTCCTACTTTGTGACAGGAACTGTGCTATGTGCTGAAGATGCAAATATAAATAAGATATGATTCCTGCCTTCAGATAACTTATGACTTGAGGAGTTTTTCCAGAAATATTAATAGTCAAATCACTTATTTTTGTCTATAATGTAGAACGTAAATGTTTATAAATATCCCAAAATGATCAGTGACTCTTCCATGAATTCACACATTTTCAATTGTAAAACTTCAACTGATCTATTGAGTAGTTTATTAAAAAAACCTCCTCAAATTCTATATCTTATATGATAACTAGTTCATCCTATCTGAAAGAGAATTTAAAGGTACTTTACATTTGATCTAGAGTTCCAAAACATCTTGAATTTATAGATTTAAATTAGTCAGTGATAATGAAAACACAAAATAATAGATCATACGGGTCACAAATTATGACATAGCTGTACCATATGTTGTAATATGTTTTTTATGAAACTTAATTGCCTAATATTTAATAAGAAATTACTTCATCTTAGCATTTTTGAAACTGTCCTACTATGTAACCAAAATTCATGGATTTGGTATTATTAAGTGGTATATTGAACTTTATAACTTACTTACATTTAGATTTTTAAAGTGGCTGAATTCTTACTATTCACCAACAACTGCACTAGGCACTTTGATAAATATTACCACCTCTAAAACTATTAATCATCTTCTAAGTTAGGGAGAATATTTTATATGTGATTCAATTGAAGCTGAGAGAAAGGTAAATTCATTTGCACAATTTCACAGTGCTTGCAAATGGTAATATGCAGTTTCAAACTTAAGCATGCTCTTCTTTATCTACATCAAATGTGCTATATCTGCAGTCATTTTTAGCAGGCTAAATGGTTTAACTTCCATAATGCCTCCAGTTTGTAGTAGTCAAATCATTTCCTGGGTAGAGGTACAATTTATGCTACACTGCAGAAATAGTTCAGAAATATTTTATGGCAAAATTCTAAAGATATATTCAATGCTTGGGGTGGTACAGAAAGGAGTGATTTTAGCTAAAATAAAATGCATTTTTTTCGTGGAAGGAAGAATCCACAAAAATTGACCTGCTTAAAAGCTTTGTAAGTTTGTATGTTTGTACATGGAGTTTTTAAAATGTGAAATGGAACAGCATGTGACCTTCTAAAGGTAATAACTAATGCCAAAATTCAATAGATTTATTATTCATACTAAAAGTGTTTTAATGATAATAAACCAGTTACAATGTCATCAGCAAGCAAAATTATTTTCTCCTTTAGTCAGTCAGCTTTTATAAATTTGTACCTATAATTATTTTGTCATACATTGTCAACTACTTTTGATACCTCAAATATAAATGGAACTATTCTGTAAATAAATGTACAATAGACTATGATTATTCTTTTCATGATTTTTAAAAAATCACTCTGATTACCTTAACAATAGTTTCATTAAAAAATAGAATAAGACCTACTATTTGATAGCACAATAGGGTGACTATAGTGAATAATAGCTTAATTGTACATTTTATTTTTATTTCTTTTTATTTTATTTTTTTCTTTTGAGACAGAGTCTTGGTCTGTTGCCCAGGCTGGAGTGCAGTGGTGCAATCTCGGCTCACTGCAACCTCCGCCTCCTGGGTTCAAGCCATTCTCCCTGCCTCAGCCTCCCGAGTAGCTGGGATTACAGGCACCCACCACAATGCCCAGCTAATTTTTGTATCTTTAGTAGAGATGGGGTTTTGCCATGATGGCCAAGCTAGTCTTGAACTCCTGACCTCAGGTGATCTGCAGGCCTTGGCCTCCCAAAGTTCTGGCATTACAGGCATGAGCCACAGTGCCGGGCCAATTGTACATTTTAAATAAGATTATAATTGCATTGTTTGTAGCTCAAAGAATACATGCTTGAGGAGTTGGATATCCCATTCTCAATGATGTGATTATTTCACATTGCATGCCTGTATCAAAACATCTCCTGTACCCCATAAATATATGTACCTACTATGTACCCACAAAAAATTTTAAAAATTAAAGGAAAAAAAGTTGGCACGTGTTAATATTGTATTCTTTCAAGCACCTTTGAATGTGATCAATGTTAATAAGATTGTTGTAACATTTCCCTTGCGATCATAATGAGTAATTCGAGCTGTTTATAGAATCAGTCTTTCTGTGCATCTCGATAGTTAAGAATAGTACCATATAAAAATTTCTTTGTACTATTATATTAATGATGCTTTAATATGCAGATTAACAGCACAATATACAATCAATTCAAATTTGGAGCCAAAATATGTATTATGTTTTTAAAAAGGAAAAACATGCATTTCTCAAAATTTCAGGCTAAATATTAATGAGGTAGGAGTCATTAAAATAATGAGCAACTGAAATGCATCGAAAATGCTATGAAATGCAAAAGATCCAATAAACGATTCCATTTTATTTTCATTACTAGTAAAAGACTTCTTCTGATTTAAATTCACCTATCTTCAAGACAACATTTAGACTTGGAAACTTACACTGTCAAAGCTGAAAGCGTTTCTCTTCTCTGTATAACAGTCCACATAATAGTTTAGTGTTCAAGGAAAATGTCAGGGGTGTTCAATCTTGTGCCTTCCCTGAATGACATTGGAAGAAGAATAATTGTCTTCGGCCACACATAAAATACACAAATATTAACAATAGCTGATGAGTTTTTTAAAATTACAAAAGAATTTCATAATCTTTTAAGAAAGTTTACTAGTTTGTGTTGGGCTGCTTTCAAAGCCGTCCTGGTCTGCATGCGGCCCGCAGGTGGCAGATTGGGCAAGCTTGATTTAGACCATTCCCAGTTACAGAACATTCAGAAAACTCACTGCAATATTCATGCCAAAACCAGAAGATGTATGTATTAATAGAAGCTGGGAAGACTCTGCTTCTCTGACAATTTGACAACTGATATTTAAAAGTGTTTAAACATAAGGAAAATTTTCAGATTCATTTTCAAAAATGTTTTAATTACGGGTAGTATAAGAGCTGAGATTTTCTCCTATAGCAAAAAACAAAATGTTTTTATCAACTAGAAGGGTGCGATAATGGAACTACTTTTCATAATTTAAGCTGCTTTTTCTTATGAAATGCCAGAAGAGCTTTGTCTCTGTGATTTTAAATTGTATGAAATGTAATTTTTTTTAAGAGGTAGATAATACATCACCAATCTTAGTATATTTTTAATTAACTTGAAATTTAAAACTCCTCAAATTTTAAACTACTTTATTTAGGTATGATTGATATGTAAACAGCCATACATACTTAATGGATATAATTCAATGAAGTGGAGGATATGTATAACCCCATGAAGTCATTACCACTATCAAGGCCATAGACATATTTGGCATTACTCCTAGTACTAAAAATCGTAGCCAGAACAACCTCTGAAAGCTTTCTCCTGCACCCTTTGTTATTTATTTCAGAGTAATAACATTTAGCGTAAATTTTAAGTATAATACAGTATTATTAACTATAGGTACTAAACCATAGATCTCTCGAAAAGATTTATCTTACATAACTGAAATTTTGTACCCTTTAGCAAACATTTCCCCATCTCCTCCTTCCTCCAGCACCTGGCAATCACCATTCTACTCTGCTTTTATGATCTTGACTATTTCGATTCCACATCTGAGATCATGCACTATTTGCCTTTTTGCATCTGGCCCATTTCACTTAGCATGTTTTCAAGGTTCATCTTCATTGCTACATATTGCAATATTTTTTTCAGGCTGAGTGATAATTCCATTGAATGTATATACCACATTTTCTATATGCATTCATCCACCAATTGACATTTATGTTGTTTTCATAACTTAGCTATTGTAAATAATGATGTAATAAACATGGGAATGCAAATATCTATTCAAGATTCTAATTTAAATTATTTTGGATATATACTCAGTAGTGGAATTGCTGTATCACATAGTAGTTTTAATTTTAATTTTATGAGGGAGCCCTATACTGTTTTCCATAATGTCTGTACCAATTAAATCTCTGCAAACAATTTACAAAAGCTTTCTTTTTTCCACATTCTCACCAATACTTTTTTTTTTTTTTTTTTTGAGACGGAGTCTCGCTCTGTCACCCAGGCAGTGGTGTGATCTCGGCTCACTGCAACCTCCGCCTCCTGGGTTCAAGGATTCTCCGGCCTCAGTCTCCCAAGTAGCTGGGATTACAGGCATGTGCCACCACGCCCAACTATTTCTTTTTTATTTTTAGTAGAGATGGGGCTGGCCAGGCTGACCTCGAACTCCTGACCTCAGGTGATCCACCTGCCTCGTCCTCCCAAAGTGCTGGGATTACAGGCATGAGCCACTGCACCCAGCCACCAACACTTAACATTTTAAAAATCTTTTTCCCAACTTTCTTGACATGTAACTGACAAATACAAATTACATATATTTAAAATGTAAAATGTAATCCTTTGATATATGCATACAATACAAAGTGATTACCAAAATTAACATATACATCATATTATGTAGTTAGCATTTTTTGCGGTGAGAACACTGAACATCTACTTTTTAATTAATTTCAAATATACAATATATTTTCGTTAACTGTAGTTTCTATGTTGTGTATTAGATCTTCAGAATTACTCAACTTAAGATTTCAAACATTTTGACCAAAATGTTCTCATTTTTCTCACTCCTCAGCCCCTGGCAACCACCTTTCTGCCATGTTTCTATGAGTTCAATTTCAAATTCCATATAAAAGTGAGATCATGCAGTGTTTGTCTTTTTGTGTTTGAGTTATCTCATTTAACATAACATCCTCTAGTTTCATCCATGGTTTGGCAAATGACAAGGTTTTTTCTTCTATAAGGCTGAATAATATTTCATTGTATATTTCATTGTATATATATATTTCATGTATATGTATACATGTATTTATTTATACATGTATATATGTATTTCATATATATATTTCATGTATATGTATACATATATATACATATGTATGTATATAATATTTCATTGTATATATATATATATATATATATATATCATTTTCTTTATCCATTCATCCATTACCAAACACTTAGGTTGTTTCCCTATTTTAACTATTGTAAACAATGCTACAATAAACATAGGAGTGCAGATACCTTTTTCACATACAGATTGCAATTTCCTTAAATATATATTTATTTTAAGTTTTTGAGGATCCTCTATACTGTTTTCCAAAATAACTGTACCAGTTTACAATCCCATCAGAATACAAGTTCTCACTTTTCTCTACATCCCTGCCAACACTTGTCACTATTTGACTGTTTGATACTAGATGTGAGGTTATATTCCATTGTAATTTTGATTTTTCTAGCGATTAATGATGCTGCTTGATTGAGCACCTTTTCATATCCATACAATATACAATGACCTGTTGGCCATTTGTATGTTTTCTTTAGCTCACTGTCTACTCAGATTCTTTGCCTATTTTTTAATCAGCTGATTTTTTTTGCTATTTAATTATAGATGTTTCTCTTATATTTTGAATATCAATCCCTTGTCAGATATATGATTTGAAAATACTTTCTCCCATTTAGTTGCTTGACCTTTCATTTTGTTGAATGTTTCCTTTACTGTGCAAAATTTTTTAGTTTGATGTAATACCATTTGTTTATGTTTGCTTTTGTTGTCTGTGCTTTTGGAATTACATTCAATCATAAAAAGCTGAAAGCATTTTCTCTAAATCAGGAACAACGCAAGGATGTCTATGCTCTCCAATTCAATTGAACATAGAACTAAAAGTCCTAGCCAGAAAAATTATATGAGAAATAGAAATAAAAGGTTTCCAAATTAAAACAGAAAAAGTTAAATTGCCCTGTTTTCAGATGACATAACTTTTACAGGTCAAGAAACATGAAGGAGGGAGAGAGGTGGCTCAGGATTACAAAAGAGAAGGCTTCGTTGATCATCCTCCTGGCAAGGAAACCAATTTAACAACTATCTACACAAGAGAAGCACCTTCATAATAACCCAAAATCAGGTGAGCACTCACAGTACCTGCTTTTTATTTCATATCACTGAAAGAAGCACTGAAGATGTAGAAAAAACAGCCTTGGATTGCTGATGCCACCCCTCCCCCATACATCAGCAGTGGCTGCATGGTGCGGAGTGTTTCTGTGCACAGCAGAGAGAGGACTGACTTAGTGCTGACCTGTTATAGCAGAAAACAAAACCATACCAATTCAGCTGCCACCCGCCCAGGAAGGGAGCATTTAAATCAGTTTTAGTAAGAGGGGAATCACCAATCCCAGTGGACCAAACTTGAGTTTCCACGAGCCTTGCCATTGTGGGCTAAAGTGCTCTGGGATCATAAATATACTTGAATAGAGACTGCCACAAGGACTACAAGTCCGAGTGCTGAACTGGGCCCAGAGACAGTGGGCTGGGTTAGGTGGGCTAAATCTACTGATACACCAGCAGGAGCAGCTAAGGGAGTGCTGGTACCAGCCTTCCCCCAAGCCCAGGCTGCACAGCTCATGGCTCCAACAGTGACCCCTTCTCTCCACTTAAGGAGAAGAGTGGGAATAGTAGGGAAGATTTTGTCTTGTACCTTAGACACCAGCTCAACTACAGCAGGTTAGAGCATCAGTCATTTTAGACCCTACTTCCTGGACATTTCCAGATCCTACTTCCTGGTATTTCTAGACACACCCTGGGCCAGAAGGGAACCTACTTTCTTGAAGGGAAAGACCCAGTTCTGGGAAGGATTATCATCTGTTAACCAAAGAGCACTTGGGCCCTGAATAATCAGAGGAAATTCCCAAGTACTATGTCAAGGGCTTTGGGTGAAACTCTAACACTTGCTGGCTTCAGGTGAGACTCAGCACATTCCCAGCTGGGATGGCTATGGGATGAGACTCCGTAAACTTGAGAAAAGCAGAGAAAAAAGTCTTGCACCTAACGTACCAACATGGCCACAGTGGGGTATAGCACCAAGCAGACACCTGGGGTCCCAAATTTCAGGCCTTTACTCTTAGACTTCATTTCTGGAGTTGTCTGGGGCCAGAGGGCAGCCCACTATGCTGAAGGATAAGTCACAGGACAGGTTTTTGGCTCTAGTCTCTGACTCCTGAACAGCACCTAAGGACCCACCTGGCACTGAGGAGAACTCACCTCCCTGAAGGGAAGGACAAAGACCAGACTGGCTTTGTTGCCTGCTGATTGTAGAGTCCCAAGGCCTTGAGCAAACATAGACTGAAGCCAAGAAGCGATTACCATAGGCCTTGAGTGAGACTCTGTGCTGTGCTGGCTTCAGATCTAACCCAGTACAGTTCTAGTGGTGATGGCCGCCAGGGTCCTCTTGTCACAACACCCTTAGCTCCAGGTGTCTCAGACCGGAGAAAGAGACTGCGTTCATTTGAGAGAAAGTAAGAGAAGGGAACAACAGTTTCTGCCTGGTAAACCAGAGAATTCTTTTGGATCTTGCTCAAGACCATCAAGGTAGTACATCTACTAGTCTGCAAGAACCACAGTGTTACTGGGCTTGGCATATAGACTTAGGCAGATTCAGCTTAGATCACAACACTCAAGTTTTTTCTAATATCTGGAAAGCCTTCCACAGAAGAATGGGTACAAATAAGCCCAGATAGTGAAGACTAAAATTAATACTTACTCAAAAGGATAATAATAGAGAACTTTCCAAACCTAGAAAAATATATGAATATCCCAGTACAAGAAAGTTGTGGAATACCACGCAGATTTTTCCTAAAGACTACTCAAGGCATGTAATAATCAAACTTCCGAAGGTCAAAAATAACAAAAGAATCTTAAAAGCAACAACAGAAAAGAAACAAATAACATACAATGGAGCTCCAATACATCTGGCAGCAGACTTTTCAGTGGAAATCTTACAGGCCAAAAGAGAGTGGTCAGACATATTTACAGTGTTGAAGAAAAACTTTTAGCCTTGAATAGTATATCTGGCAAAACTATGCTTCAGATATGAATGACAAGTAAAGATGTTCATGAACAAACAAAAGCTGAGAGATTTCATTAATAACAGAATTGTCCTACAAGAAATGCTAAAGAAAGTACTTCAGTCAGAAAGAAAAGAATGTTCACAAGCAATAAGAAATCATCTGAAGGTAAAAAACTCACTGGTAATAGTAAGTACACAAAAACATCACATAATATTATAATAATATAACTGTGGTGTGTAAACTACACTTAAGTAGAAAGACTTAATGCTGAACCAATGAAAAATAATAACTATAACAACATTTCAAGACAGACACAGTACAATAAAATATAAATAGAAACAACAAAATGTTAAAAACCAGAGGGATGAAGTTAGTCTTTTTTGGTTTTGTTTTTGCATGTTTTTCTTTGTTTGTTTATGCAGTGTTACCTTGTTATCATTGAAAACAATTGGTTATAAGCCAAATGTTAACCTCAAACAAAAATATATAGAATGGATATACAACAAATAAAAAGCAAGAAACTAACTTATATCACCAAAGGAAATCACCTTTATTAAAAGGAAAACAGGAAGAAAATAAGGAAGAGAAGATCACAAAGTAACAAGAAAACAAATAACAAAATGGCAGGAGTAGATTCTTACTTATCTATAATAGCATTAAATGTAAATGGACTAAAGTCTTCAATCAAAAGAAATAGAGTGGCTAAACTGATTTAAAATATACCCATTTAGTTGTTGCCTACAAGAAACACACTGCACCTATCAACACACACATAGACTAAACAAACAAACAAACAAACAAAAAAATTGAAAAAGATATTCCATGTCAATGGAAACCAAAGAGGAGCAGGGTTAGCTATGCTTGTATCAGACAAAATAGATTTCAAGACAAAAATTGTAAGAAGAGACAAAGAAGGAAACTATGAAATGATAAAAGGGTCAATTCAGCAAGAAGATATGGCAACTTAAAAAATACAGGTACCCAACACTGGAGCACACAGATATATAAGTCAAATATTTTCAACAATAATAGTGGGAGATTTCAACACGCTACTTTCAGCATTGGATACATCTTTCATACAGAAAATCAACAAACAATCACCAAATTTAGTCTGCAGTGTAGACCAAATTGACCTAATAGATATTTACAGAACATTATATGCAATGACAAAAGAAAACACACTTTTCCTCAGCATGTGGCTCACTCTCAAGGACATACCATACGTTAGATCAGAAAACAAGTCTTAAAACATTCAAAAAATTGGAATAATATCAAGCATATTCTCTGACCACAATGCAATAAAACTAGAAATAAATAAGGGAACTTTGGAAACTATAAAAATAGATAAAAATGAAACAATATACTCCTGAATGAACAGTGAGCAAAGGAAGAAATTAAGAAGGAAATTGAAAAACGTCTTGAAACAAATGATAATAGAACACAGCATACCAAAAACCTATGGGATACAGCAAAAGCAGAACTAAGAGGGAAATGTATAGCTATAAGTGCCCACATAAAAAATAAAAATAAAAACGTCAGTAAAAAACGCATTATTTTAATAATGCATATTAAAAACTAGAAAAGCAAGAGCAATCTGAATCCAAAATTAGTAGAAGAAAAAATAATAATGATCAAAGAAGAAAAAATGAAATTGATACATTTTAAAATAACCCAAAGACTACAATTGTATTGTTTGTTACTCAATGGATAAATGTTTGATGAGATGGCTACCCCATTCTTAATTGTGTGTTTATTTCACATTGCATGCATATATCAAAACATCTCATGTACCACATTAATATATACATCTATGTAGCCAAAAAATTAAAAATTAAAAGAATTTAAAATAAATAAAAATAAATAAAATTGCAATGAAAAATATAATACAAAGGATCAATGAAATAAAAATTGTGGAGTTTTTTGGAAAGTTAAACAAAATTGACAAACACTTAGCCATAGTAACTAAAAAAAGAGAGGAGATCCAAATAAATAAAATCAGATATGTAAAAGGAGACATTACAACAGATACTCTAAAATTCAAAGGATTATTAGTGGCTGCTATCAGCAACTATATGCAATAAATTGGAAAATCTAGAAAAAATATACAAAATGGTAGACACATACAACCTACCAAGATTGAACCAGGTAGGAATCCAAAACCTAAACAGAAAAGTAACAAGTTACTAGATTGAGGCTATAATAAAAAGCCTCCCAGCAAGGTAAAGTCCTCAACCTGAGGGATTCACTTCTGAATTCCACCAACATTTTAGAGCTAATACCAATTCTATTCAAACTATTCTTAAAAGTAGAGAAGGGAATATTTCTAAACTCTTTCCATAAGGCCAATATTACACTGATCCCAAAACCAGATTAAAAAAAGGTCAAAGAAAGAAAATAAAAAGCCGATATCTCTGATGATATGGATGCAAAAATTTCCAATAACATATTGTTAAACAAAATTAAACAATACATTGAAAAGATGTCATCTATCATGACCAAGTAGGATTTATTCCTGGGATGCAAGGATGATTCAACATATGCAAGTCAATCAATGTGATATCTCATATCAACAGAATGAAGAACAAAAAATATATGATTTTTTTAAATGTTATTTTAATTTCTATTATTTGTAGAGACAGGGTCTCCTTATGTTGCCCAGGCTGGTCTCAAACCCCTGGGCTCATGCAATCCTGATGCCTCAGCCTCTCAAAGTGCTGATCATTTCAACAGATAATGAAAAATGATTTGATAATATTCAAAATCACTTCATGATAAAAATCCCAAAAGCATCAGGAAAAGAAGAAATACATTTCAACAAAATAAGGGCCATATGTGACAGTGCCACAGCTAGTATACTGAATGGGAAACAGCTGATATTTTCCTCTAAGATGTAGAACGTGACAAGGATGTTTGTTGTCATCAATGTTATTCAACATAGTGGTAGAAATCCTAGCTAAAGCAATAAGATGGAAATAAATAAAATACATATAAATTTTAAAGGAAAAAGTTAAATTATCCTTGTTTGCAGATGATATGTCCTTATATTAGGAAAATCCTAAAGACTCCACAAAACAAAAAACAATTATTAGAACTAGTAAACACATTCACTGAAGTTGAGGAATAAAAAACACAAAAATCAGTAGCATTTCTATATGTAAACAGTGAACAATCTGAAAAAGAAATTATAAAAGTAATCACATTTACCATAACCAAACATCAAATTAAATACCTAGGAATTAACCAAAGAAGTGAAAGATATCTATAATAAAAACTATACAACACTGATGAACAAAATGAAAAGGAAACTAAATAATGCAAAGATATTCCATGTTCATGGTTTGGTAGAAAAATTGTTAACATGTCTATATTGACCAAAGCAACCTACAGATTCAGTGCAATCCCTATCAAAATACCAATGATATTCTTCATAGACATAGCAACTACAAAGCTATAGTAAACAAAACAGCATGCTACTAGCATAGAAACTGACATGTAGACCAATGGAACAGAGTAGAGAATCCAGAAACAAATCCACACACCTACAGTGAACTCATTTTCAACAATAGTGCCAAGAACATAAACTGGAGAAAAGACACCCTCATCGATAAATGATGCTGGGGAATCTGGATATGCATATGCAAAAAAATGAAACTAGAACTCTATCTCTCACCATGTACAAAAATCAAACCAAAGGGATTAAAGACTTAAATCTAAAACCTCAAACCGTGAAACTACTACAAGAGAACATTGGGGAAAATCTCCAAGACATTGGTCTGGGCAAACATTTTTTGAGCGACACCAAACAAACACGGTCAACCAAAGCAAAAATTGACAAATGTAATGACATCAAGTAAAAAAGCTACTGCACGGTAAATGAAAAAAAATCAACAAAGTGAAGAAACAACCCACAGAATGGTAGAAAATATTTGCAAACTACCCATCTGACAAGGGACTAATAACCAGAATATGCAAGGTACTAAAATAACTCAATAGCCAAAATATACGCAGTCTGATTAAAATGGTCAAAATACATAATTTTAACATTTATAACATCAGGAGACCAGCATGGCCAATAGAGTAAGATCCTGTCTCAGAATTTAAAAAGAAAAAAAAAAGGAGGAAAGAAAAACAATTGTCTATACTACCTCAAGCAATCTTTTGATTCAAAACAATTCCTATCAAAATCCCAATGGCATTATTCAAAGGAATACTAAAAATAATCCTAAAATTAATATGGAATCACAAACACCCTGAATAACCAAAGCAATCTTGAGAAAAAGAAAAAAAAAAAGCTTGAGGCATCACACTTCCTGAGTTCAAATTGTATTGCAAAGCTATAATAATTGAAACAACGTGATACTGGCATAAAAACAGACACATAGACCAGTGGAACAGAAGAGACACTCCAGAAATAAACCCATGCATACACTATCAACTAATCTTTGACAAATGTACCAAGAATACATAAATGGGAAAGAATAGTCTTTTCAATAAATGGTGCTGGGAAAACTAATAATTTCCATGCAAAAGAGTAAAATTGGACCTGTATCTTACATCATACAAAAAAATCAACTAAAAATTGAATAAAAACTTAAATGTCAGACATGAAACCATAAAACTATTTGAAGAAAACATAAAGAGCTTCTTGAAATTGGTCTTGGCAAAAATTTTTTGGATATGATGCCAAAAGCACAGGCAACAAAAACAATTTTTTAAACATTATTTTGTAGTATTCCTTTTCTTTTCCTTTGTTTTTTCTTGTTTTTATTTATGTATGTATGTGTGTATGTATGTATGTATGTATTTGTTTATTTTTTAAACAGAGTCTGTCTCTGTCACCCAGGCTGGAGTGCAGCGGTGCGATCTCCACTAACTGCAACCTCTGCCTCCCAGGTTCAAGCGATTCTTCTGCTTTGGCCTCCCAAATAGCTGGGATTACAGCCACCTGCCATCAGGCCGGGCTAATTTTTGTATTTTTAGTAGAGGCAGGGTTTCACCATGTTGGCCAGGCTGGTCTTGAACTCCTGACCTCAGGTGATCTGCCTGCCTTGGCCTCCGAAAGTGTTGGGATTACAGGCATGAGCCACCGTGCCCAGCTCTATTTTCTAGTTGTCTTATTGTTTTTCTTAACCATTCAACTTTCTATTATTTCAGTATTAAATTACTTTAGAAATGCTCATGGTTTTCCAGGCAAATTTTAAATATTATTTCTCCTACTTTGAAATTTGAAGAAAAATATATTTTGCATCTGGCTTTATCCTACTTAAAATCTCAACTTAAAAAGAAGCAAAAAAATGTGATTAAATATTCTATTACTAGATTGAAAATGTTAATTAGATAATGTACTATTATTACATCTATACCTGTTTGCAAAGATCGATAAAAACAAATTTGTACCTGGAAAATAGGATGGAACCCTCTTAATTAACTAAACTGATAAGTTCTGGGGCTATGGACCCAATGTAACTTCTGTGACTTTCAGAAAAGTAAATTTTGAAGAATCATATTAATAAAAAAATTTTTTTTAAAAAAACCTAGAAACCAGTTTCAAAAAAAGTTATACTTTTGTCTTCTGAATTAGAATTTTAAAACAGATATAACAAAATCTTTTTTCCCATAGCTGGGATGAATTAATCTATAAGGAAAGCCAGAATGTAATTAGACTATGATGACTGACAGTTAAACATACTTAAAGTTAACTTTTATCCCAGTAGTATGTATTTTTTTATCTTCTTTCCTTATATTTGACTCTGCATGTCAAAATATAATATTTTTATAAAGACAGATTTTAACAGAAAAATTATACAGGACTATATATTGTACTAATCTTAGCCATCACTTGTACTTGCACAGGAAATACCTTGATAAGTATGAAAAATTATAAATTAATGCAGCACTTTGTGACACCACTTAAAATTTAGCAAAGACGTATAAAATGAGATATTTGACTTCTCTAAAACTTGCATTGCATAATAAAAGCCTATAAAGTGGTGACAAACAACTTTATGGAAAAAATGTTTTCGAAAGTGAAAAGAAAATTCAGTTTAAATGTTTACCTATAATTATTCACCATAGATCATAAAGTTTTATAAAGGGAGCAGAACTTGAGATGCTTCTTAATTTTACAATTGGAAAAATTTAGGACACAAAATTGTTAGTAGCATGACTAAATGTGAATAGCTAATTAGTGCAGAGCCAGAAGTAAGATATTAATAGATGTGAACCTTAGATATAATTAATTAAATACATATTATCACATGTTGCTGAACTGATAGGTAATAGCCAAGTCCCATGTACTTCTTTTCATTAGTTCTATCAAGGTTGTAACAAATACAATATTGTCTTCTTAGTAAACTATAATGAGATCTTTCTTCAGTTCAAAACACTTATTATTTTTCTCATGTTGAACAAAAAATGAAAAGCTATTTTGCTAGCAAGAATAATGATACAAAATTATTTTAATTGCACAGTATTAGGCATTTACAGGTTTATAATAAAGTATATTTGTCAAAGTTATTAGTAATGGTATAGCTGAGGTTTATGATGAAAGATTCTTTTAAAAATAAAGTTTTTCATGCTTTTATTGCTCTGAAAATAAAGAGATTTGTACCAATTAATAAACACCACTATTGAATAAAGAAAAACATTTATAGGCAAATTGGTGATGATATATTTTTAATTTTCTATAATGTATTTAAAAGATAATTGGTGTTATTAACCACAAGAGATGACCCTTTTATCATAGTTACAAATACAGATAGTGTCCTTTAATACTGAAAATAATTCTATATCTTTTAAATACCTGAAAAAAAATGTCATTGGTAGAATGATTTTAAATAAAATTCTTTTAAAAAGCACCCGAAAAAGACATTTAGTCTTTATACACAATTTTCTTTATATTCTTCATGCCCCTTCTTTAAGGTGCTTCATTTAAGCTTTTCAGTCAGAATGAAGCAGCATATGTTCACAAAGGAGCAGAAGCACAGAAAATAGCCTGAGTAAAGCAACTCGAAAAACAGATTTAATCTGTTATTGCTTTTTAAATGTGAACTCCTATTTAGTTTTTTATTGCTTCAAGATTTGTTTATAAAAATCCTCATTAATTAATGGGCTACATCTTTGTTGTCTTAAAGTAAATGATTAAAAATTTAAAAATGTCTGATTAATTTCTACTTACAGAGAAAGAACAACAACAAAAAACTTCTCTTAATTTTTATTAAAAAATAGTATAACCCGAAAGAGTTCATTAGAATGTGTTATAAAATACACTTGGATTGCTTTATTATGATTATTATTTTCCTTGGGTCAAGTTTTGCTGTCCTTATAAATCTCAATGATCTTTGTTTCTATCCATATTCTGAATTCTATTTGTCATTCCAGCCAGTTTAGCCTGGTTAAGAACTCTTGTTAAAGAACTGGTGCAGTCATTTGAAGGACATACAACACTCTGGCCATTTGAGTTATTAGAGTTCTTGCATTGGTTCTTTCTCATATCTGTGTGTGGGTGCTCCTTTATCTGCAGTGTTGATTGAGTAAATCAATCGCCTTATTTTCTGAATGTTTTCACTGGTCTCAGGCTTTGTGCAGGGTCTTTATTTGAAGCTGCCTTCTTGTCTCTGGTTTCAGAGGGGTGGATATTAGTGAGGTATTTTTGGTGTTGAAGCTTTGGGGTATAATCTAGAGGTAGTATATAGGCTTATTGGTCATTTGATAGAATGTTTCTTAGCTGTATGGCTACCCTGTATTCTCACAGTTGCAACCATGTTCCCTCTCAATGCTCTGAAAGTGTCGGTTCTTCTTTCCTTTGATTGCTGGCTGTAGATCCTTACATGGCACTCCTGGACTGCCCATTGCAGCTCTGAGGTAATCTCAATGTTTATGTTTCTTCCCCCACTTTAGAGGCAGCAGAGGAAGAAATTTTAGCAGTGGTTGTGGTAGAGGGTTGTTAGCCTGTCTCTCAGAGTTTCCACCCCAGAGAGGTGCAAGTAACCAATTGCTCAGTGTAATTCACCCAGGATGGAGGGTCTGTGCTCTGGGCCCAAGACAGGGATTTCCTGTCTTGTTACTAGCAGTGGGATATGTGTGGGACCTGTGGGAGATGGACTAGCCTCTTCTACTTTGGTTGACTGTAGCTTGTTGGAGGTGTTAAAAAAATACTTAGGATCTTTAATACTTCTTTATTCTGAGAGTGGCAAGGGAAGTTCCACTGCAGAGGCAGTGGCAGAGAAGCTAAAGGAAAAAATAGCTGATTAAAAAAAATTCCTAATGGGTCTGACAGAGCTCAATAACACAATACAAGAATTTCACAATGCTATCACAAGTATTAACAGCAGGATAAACCAAGCTGAGGAAAGAATCTTAGAACTTAAAGACGTGTTCTCAGAAATAAGACGATCTGATAAAAGTTTAAAAAAGAATAAAAAAGTGAACATAACCTCCAAGAAGTATGGGATTATATAAAAATGCCAAATCTATGAATTATTGGCATTCCTGAAAGAGAGGGGGAGAAAGCAAACAACTTGGAAAACATATTTCAGAATATTATCCGTGAACACTTCCCTAACATTGTTAGAGAGGCCAACTGTCAAATTCAAGAAATGCAGGTAACTCCTGCAAGATTCTACACACGAAGATCATGCCCAAGGCACATAGTCATCATATTTTCTAAGGTTGCTATGAAAGAAAAAATGTTAAAGGCAGCCAGAGAGAAAGAGCAGGTCACCTACAAAGGGAACCCTAACAGGCTAACAGCAGACTTCTCAGCTGAAACCCTAATGCCAGAATAGATTGGGGGCCTATATTCAACATTCTTAAGAAAAAATTCAACCAAGAATTTCATATCCAGTCAAACTAAGCTTCCTAAGTGAAGGAGAAATAAGAACCTCCCCAGATAAGCAAATGTTGAGGGAATTCATTATCACCAGACCTGCTTAACAAGAGATCTTGAAAAGACCACTAAATATGGAAAGGAAAGACTGGTACCAGCTAATAAATAGCCACACTTAAACACACAGACCAGTGATACTTTAAAGTAACCATACAAACAAGTCAACATAATAACTAGGTAACATCACAATGACGGGATCAAATCCACACATATCAATACTAATCTTAAATGCAAATGGGTTAAATATCCCCACTTAAAAGGCAAAGAGTGGCAAGCTGGTTATAAAAGCAAGACCCAGTGGTATCCTCAAAAGATCTATCTCACAGGTAATGGCACTCATAGACTCAAAATACAGGGATGGAGAAAAATATACCAAGCAAATATGAAACAGAAAAAAAACAGAGGTTGCTATTCTAATTTCAGACAAAGCATATTTTAAACCAACAAAGATCAAAAAAGACAAAGAAAGGCATTACATAATGTAAAGTGTTCAATTCAACAACAAGACTTAACTATTCCAAATATATATACACCCAACATAGGAGCACTCAGATTCATAAAGCAAGTTCTCAGAGACCTACAAAGAGACATAGACTCTCACACAATATTACTGAGAGACTTCAACACTTTACTGGCAGTATTAGACAGATCATTGAGGCCAAAAATTAGCAAAGATATTCAGGACCTTTATTTGTCCTTTCTGGTGCTGCTATGAAGAAATACCTGAGACTGAGTAATTTATAAAGGAAAAAGTTTTAATTGATTCACAGTTTCGCAGGGCTGGGGAGGCCTCAGGAAACTTATTTACAATTATGGCAGAAGGGGAAGCAAACACGTTCTTCTTCACATGGTGGCAGGAAGGAGAAGAATGAACAAAGTGGGGAAAACCCCTTATAAACCACTGGATCTCACGAGAATTCACTCATTATCATGAGAACAGCATGGAAAGCCCACCCCATGATCTAATCACATCCCAGGAGGTCCCTCCCCCAAAACATGGGGATTACAATTCAGATTACAATTTAAGATGAGATTTGGGTTGGTACACGGAGTCAGACCATATCAGGACCTAAACTCAACACTGGAGCAAATGGATCTGATAGACCTTTACAGAACTCTTCACTCAAAAACAAAGAATATACATTCTTCTCATCATGACGTGGAATATATGCTAAAATTGATCACATAATTGGGCACACAATAATCCTCAACAAATATAAAAGAGCCAAAATCATACAGAACACACTCTCAGAACACAGCACCATAGAAACAAAAGTCAAGATTATAAAAGTTGCAAATTAAACAGCATGCTCCTGAATGACTTTGGGGTAGATAATGAAATTAAGGCAGAAATCAAGAAGTTATTTGAAAATAATGAGAACAAAGATGCAACATACCAGAATCTCTGGGACATAGCTAAGGCAGTGTTAAGAAGGAAATTCCTAGCACTGAATGCACACACCAAAAAGTTAGAAAGATCTCAAATTATCAACCTAACTTTACAACTGAAAGAATTAGAGAAACAAGTACAAATCAACCCCATAGCTAGCAGAAGACAAGAAATAACAAAAATCAGAGCTTAACTGAAGGAAATTAACACACAAAAAAAAAAACATTCGAAAGATCAACAAATCCAAGAGTTGGCTACATTGAAAAAAAATTACAAGATAGACTAATAAAGAAGAAAAAAGATCCGAGTAAACACAATTAGAAATTATAAAGGGAATGTTGCTACTGACAGCACAGAAATAAAAGCAGTCATTAGAAACTATGATAAGCATCTCTATGCACACACACTAGAAAACCTAGAAGAGATGAGTAAATTTCTGGACACACACATCCTCCCAGGACTGAGCCAGAAGAAATTGATTCTCTGAACAGACCAATAATAACCTCCAAAATTGAATCAATAACAAATAGCTTGCCTACCAACCAAAAAAGCCCAGGATCAGAAGGATTCACAGCCAAACTCTACCAGGTGTACTAAGAAGAGCTGGTATCATACCTACTGAAACTATTCCAAAAAATTGAGGAGGAAGGACTCCTCCCCAGGTCGTTCTATGAGACTAGCATCATCTAGATACCAAAAACAGGCAAAACACACAAAAATGGAAACTTAAGGCCAACATTTTTCTGTGAATATCAATGCAAAAATCCTAAACAAAATACTTGCAAACCAAATCCAGTAGCACATCTAAAAGCTAATCTATCATGATCAAGTAGGCTTCATCCCCAGGATTCAAAGTTGATAATTATAATAAACCACAAGATAATCATGTAGTTTATCTCAATAGACACAGAAAAGACCTTTGATAAAATTCAACATTCCTTCATATTAAAAATTCTCAATAACCTAGGTATTAAAGGAAAGTACCTGTGATGGTTAATACTGAGTGTCAACTTGATTGGATTGAAGGATGCAAAGTATTGTTACTGGGTGTGTCTGTGAGGGTTTGCCAAAGGAGATTAATATTGGAGTCAGTGGTCTAAAGGAGGCAGACCCACCCTTAGTCTTGGTGGGCACCATCTAATGAGCTGCTAGCACAGCTAGGATAAAAGCAGGCAGAGGAACATGGAAAGAGTAGACTGGCTGAGTCTCCAGTGCTGAATGCTTTCAGCCTTGAACATCAGATTCTAAGTTCTTCAGCTTTTGGACTCTTGGGCTTACACCAGTGCTTTGCCAGGGGATCTCGGGCCTTTGGCCACAGACTGAAGGTTGCGCTGTCGGCTTCCCTACTTTTGAGGTTTTGGGACTCATACTGTCTTCTTTGCTCCTCAGCTTAAGACAGCCTATTGTGAGAATTAACCTTGTGACTGTGTGAGTCAATACTCCTTAAACACCCTTTCATATATACATGTATACTGTTAGTCTTGTTCCTCTAGAGAACCCTAATAGCATACCTCAAAATAATTAGAGCCATCTATGACAAACCCAAAGCCAACATTATAATGATTGGGAAAAAGCTGGTAGCATTCCCCTTGCAATCCAGCACAAGACAAAGATGCCCTCTCTCTGCACTTCTATTCAACATAGTATTGGAAGTCCTAGCCAAAGCAAGCAGGTAGGAAAAAAAAAAACAAAGTGCATCCGAATAGGAAGAGAGGAAGCTGAATTATCTCTGTTTGCAGACAACCTAATTTTATATCTAGAAAACCGCACAGTCTTGGGCCAAAAGCTCTTTCAGCTGATAAACAACTTCAGCAAAGTTGCTGGATACAAATTCAATGTATAAAAATTACTAGCATTTCTATTCACCAACAATAGTGAAACTGAGAGCCAAATCAGAAAGGCAATCCCATTCACAATTGCCACAAAAAAAAATGCCTACGAATACAGCTAACGAGGAAAATGAATGGCATCTACAATGAGAATTACAAAACACTGTTCAAAGAAATCAGAGGAGACACAAAACAAATGGAAAAATATCTCATGCTCATGGACAGAAAGAATCAATACCAATAAAATGGCTTTACTGCCCAATGCAATTTACATATTCAGTGCTATTCCTATCAAACTACCAAAGACAATCTTCACAGAACTGGAAAAAACTATTTTAAAATTCATGTGGAACCAAAAAAGAACCCAAATAGCCAAGGCAATCCTAAGCAAAAGTAGTAAAGCTGGAGGCTTCATGTTACCCAACTTCAGACTATACTACGAGGCTACTGTAACCAAAACAGCATGGTTCTGGTTCAAAAACAGGCATATAGACCAATGGAACAGAATAAAGAGCTCCAAAATAAGATCACCCTTCTATGACCATCTGATCTTTGACAAAGCTGACAAAAACAAGCAATGGGAAAAAGACTCCCTGTTCAGTAAATGGTACTGGGATAACTGGCTAGCTATATGTAGAAGATTAAAGCTAAACCCCTTCCTTACACCATACACATAATCAACTCAAGATGGATTAAAGACATAAATGTAAAATTTCAAACTATAAAAACCCTAGGAGACAATCATCGTGGACATAGGAACAGATTTTATGATAAAGACACAAAATCAACGGCAACAAAAGCAAAAATTTAGAAGTAGGATCTAATTAAAGTTAAGAGCTTCTGCACAGCAAAAGAAACTATCAACAGAGTAAACAGAAAACCTACAGAATGGGAAAAAATATTTGCAAACTGCACATCTGACAAAGGTCTAAGTATAAGGAGTTTAAACAAAATTACAAGAGAAAAACAAGCCCCATTAAAAAGTGGGCAAAGGATATGAACAGACACTTCTCAAAAGAAGGTAGACATGCAGCCAACAAGTATATGAAAGAAAGTTCAGTATCAATGATCATTAGAGAAATGCTATCAAAATGACGAGATACCATTTCACACCAGTCAGAATAGCTACTGTTAATAATAATAATAATAATAATAATAATAATAATAATAACAGATGCTGGCAATGTTGTGGAGAAAAGGGAACACTTATACACTGTTGGTGAGAGTGTAAATTGGTTTAACCATTGTGGAAAGCAGTATGGCTATTCCTCAAAGAGCTAGAAGCAGAACTACTGTTTGACCCAGCAATCCTATTGCTGGGTGTGTACCCAGCAGAATATAAAGCATTCTACCATAAAGCCACATGCATGCATATGTTCACTGCAGCACAATTAACAATAGCAAAGACATGGAATCATCACACATGCCCATCAATGACACATTGGATAAAGAAAATGTACATATACACGATGGAATATTATGCAGCTAAAAGCAAAAAGAATAAGATGATGTCTTTTGTGGGCACATGGATGGAACTGGAGGCTATCATCCTTAGCAAACTAATGCAGGAAGAGGAAACTAAATACTGTATGTTCTCACTTATAAGTTGGAGTTAAATGATAAGAACTTATGAGCACAAATAAGGAATCAACAGACACTGGGGTCTACTTGAAGGGGCAGGGGAAAAGGAGGGTGATGAGCAGAAAAGATAACTACTAGGTACTGGGCTTAATACCTGGGTGATGAAATAATATTAACAACAAATCTTCTTGACAGGTGATTATCTGTGTAACAAACCTTCACATGTACTCCCAAACCTAAAATAAAAGTTAGATAAAATAAATAAATAAATACATTTTAAATAGCATCTTATGCAAAAGCCCTACATTTATTTGAATACAGAGAACAATCTTATATTTTTCAAAAGCTATGTGGTGGTTTAAATATAAATCCTATTTCTTTTATTTATTTTGCATAACATAATACGTAACAACTGCTATGTTATTTTGTTTAATAAACACATTAATATTTGTTAGATTTTCAATTTAGTAAATCATTTAACAGTAAATGACTTAAATGTAGATGAAAATTAAGCTAAATATGTGTTTTTACTTTGTTTTATTATTGGATGTCCTAGGATTCTACTTACAAGATATAAAATACGACCTCCTCAAAGATGACTGTAGTAAGGCTATAAAATACACTAAGCGTACAAAGAATTTTTAATAAGAAGATGACTGTTCCTTATTAGTGCTTTTGCTCTAGCCATGGAACTCATCTGCGTAAGTAAAGTCATGTTGTTTATAACAAGGTTTGGTTGTTCCCATAATGTCTGACTAGTCTGCAAGTTCAGAAACTTATAAATAATAATTTCATAGTGGTGCACTTTTATAGAAACTTTGAATTTGGAATTAGAAACTACATCTAATCCCATTAAATGCCTTGAAATATGGCCTTAAACATTGTTTTAAATATTAGACAATATTGGTCTATATTTGGCTTTTATATCATTATGTGAAAATATAGTATCTGTTATATTGGGTTTACCTTTGCAGTTCTGCGGTCTGTCAGATATTTTTGTACTAAAAGGATATACATTGAAACCAAGTGTTCATTGTGACAAATGTTATATTAATATAATAAAAATTAAATAATATATGAAGAAAGAAAACTAATACTTGTTTTGCCAAACTATTGTTTAGACAACTTTGTCACCACATTGTAAAGTTTACAATATGCTTAATATTCCTAAAACATTTATTTAGTTAAAGGTCTCTCATAACCTTTCAATGGTTTTCTATTCTCTACAAAGATAAATTTACTATTCTCCACTATCGAGCCTTAATTTGCCCATTTGTACATATCTCTCACTGTGTAGAGTTATATCACCCCTTGGGATTTTCTGTGTTAAAATAAATTATAAATATTCCCTCTGATTATTTCTGTAAAAGAGTAATTTTCATATTTTGCTCAGTGGAACCACAGGCCTCCATGTTTTTGCTGCAAGGATTCATTAAAAAACATAATACTTGCCACCAAACTGTCTAAAAGAATGCTGTTATTGCATTATGTCTCATATATCAGGGTTCCACGTTACATTTGTTAAGAGAAAAAAAAGAATCAAATTCTCAATAAAAGTTTGAAAACCAGTAAAATACACCATCATACCATCAAATCTTCTGTTTTTTTTTTTTTTTTTTTTTTGAGATGGAGTCTTGCTCTGTCTCCCAGGCTGGAGGGCTGGAGTGTAGTGGCACATTTTCAGCTCACTGCAAGCTCCACCTCCTGGGTTCACACCATTCTCCTGCCTCAGCCTCCCGAGTAGCTGGGACTACAGGCGCCCGCCACCATGCCCAGCTGATTTTTTTTGTATTTTTAGTAGAGACGGGGTTTCACCGTGTCAGCCAGGATGGTCTGGATCTCCTGACCTTGTGATCCTTCCACCTTGGCCTCCCAAAGTGCTGGGATTACAGGAGTGAGCCACCGTGCCCGGCCGCTATGAAATCTTCTGAATTTGAATAGTTTCGCATAGACAAACTAAATGACTATTTGTGGAGATTTTTAATAAAAGTCTAATATTGTTTATCTTTAAATAAATTCATTGCTCTAAATAAACTAAGCCTCTTGGTATCTAATGCATTTTTTCCACTTCTATTTTCTTTCTGTTCTCTCAGTCACTTTCACTTTGTTCTTCTAAGTTCTACCATTTAAAATAGGCTAAGAACCTTCTTTTTCATAAAGCTTCAAAGTATCATTCCCTCCAGTCCACAGCAGTTGCTCAGTCTTGTAAATTCATGGCATCCAATGTTTATCTCATTAACATCTCAGTTGCTTGCAAATCACCTTCTGACTTTTTTGATATTGTTTGGTTATTTCAATGATTTTTAACAGTAGTATTTATGTGTTTCTGCCTTGTTATTGTAAACAATATTAATTTCTTTGAAAGCATAAACCATAACAGAGCAAGTTTGCATTCTACTCCCTGCCACTGTCTTTTACATAGTTAATCCTCAGTAACTATAGATATGCTTTGATAATTTTAAAAATGTTTTAGTAATATAGTAAAAAAAAGAAACCCAGTAGGTCGAATATTTTTGGCTTCTATTTTAAATGTATTATGTCAAATTATGGATTAAAATATCAGTATAGTTAATATTAAAAATAGTTCATTATAGTTTAAATATCTTTTCATGTTCTGTGACAGTAAAACTACATGAATACATGATAGTAGGACATAAAAGCTATCAATATGGGATGAACTAAAGAAAGTGAGTGGCTGTAACAAAATGGAGATAAATAAATGGTGATATGCTTCAAAAGTGTAAAAACTATGAATAGTTTCAGCTGGGAGATATAGATAACTGTAATGATACGGTCCCCATTTATACAACATAAATGCTGCCCAAGCAGTAAATTAATGATTTTTCTTGAACCTACTGGGGAAGGACAATTTCAGGGTGAATAATCACCCCCAAATTCTGGAGAAAGACATCGTCAGTGAAAAATAAGACACGAGCATTTGCTTGCCTGGGGTTTATGTCACTGGGTGCCACAAAAGTTGGTAGGCAGATAGAATAATACATTTTAATAAATAGCTAGTGGCTAACTGTGGGCTACTCTGAAAGTATAATGTTCCTAGAGTCTGTGGTTATGAGGAGTTCATAGATTTCTCCAAGAACTCAATCAGTCACTCAAAGGAAAAATTGAGAAGAATCCAGAAAGGTTCAATAGAAAAGAAATCATCTTTTCAACAATTACTACTGGGAAAATTAAATATCTACCTGCAAAAGAATAAAATTGAACCCTACCTCACATCATACATAGCAATTCAATGAAAATAGATCTTAAAGTTAAATATAACAGCTGAAAGTATGAAATTCTTGGAAGAGAATATAGGAGAAAACTTTTATGACATTGGGTTAGACAAAGGTTTCTTGAATATGACATCAAAATACATGGAAAAAAACTTAGAAATATTGGACTTCATTAAAATTAAAACCTCTTGTACAGCAAATTATGACATCATGAAAGTGAAAGACAACTTAAAAAATGGGAGAAAATATCAACAAATTATATATTTCATAAGGGATTTGTATTCATAACATGTTAGAAAGAAAGAAAAACTTATGACAATAAAAAAGTCAAATAACTAAATTTAAAAATAGTCAAAGTACTTAAACATTATTACAGTGAGGAGGTACAAATGGCCAATGAGGACATGAAAAGATGCTCAGCATCATTGGTCATTAGGACAATGCAAATCAACAGCACAAGATAGCACTTTACAACCACTAGAATGACTATAGTAAAAAAAGCCAAACAATAACAACTGTTAGCAAGAATGTAGAGAAATAGAAATTCTCATACATTGTTGGTGGGTGTGTATAATTGTGTAGACACATAAAAAATGCTCAACATCATTTTCATCAGGGCAATGCAAATTAAAACAACAATGAGATACCACTGCACATCTATTAAAAAGGAGAAAAATCCAAAACTTGACAACACTAAAGGCTGATGAGAAAGCAAAGCAAAACCACTTCATTTGTTGCTCATGGAAATGAAAAAAATAGTTCAGTCACTTTTTGGAAATTTCTTATAAAGCTATACATAGAGTTGCCATAATATCTAGCAATCCCACTGAAACTGCTTACCAGGTGAACTGAAAACTAATGTTGACACAAAAACTTTACTTATAATGTCCAAAAGGTGGAAATAACCAAAATGTAAATGGATAAACAGTGGTGCACTGTATAAAAAATGCTATTCAATAATATAAAAAATGGGGTACTAATTCAAGCAAATAGCTTTGCTTTTTCCTAAGTGACAGAAGCCAGATCCAAAAGACTAGACATTGCATAATTTTCATAATATAATATTATGGCAAAGGAAAAACTATAGTGATGAAACACATGCCAGTTACTGGCAGTGGTTGAAGAAATTATATATATATCCTTCCTTGCTTTTTCTAGCTTCCAGTGTTTTCCAGCAAACCTTGGTGTTTATTGGCCAGTGGATGCATCACTCCAATCTCTGCCTTTGTCTTTACATGGCCATCTTTTGCTGTCTGTGTCTCTGTGTCCCTTATTAAGACATCAGTCATATTGGATTAAGGGCTCATGCTTATGTCCTCACCTTAACTGATACATTTGCAATGACTCTTTTTTTTCCAAATTAGTATGAATTCTGAGGTACTGAGGTTAAGACTTCAACATATGCATTTGAAAACAAAAAATTAATGTAGAATGTAGAGCTAGTATTGGGAAAATACAAAATGAGTCAGGAAGATCTTGTAGTGCCGGCAACTAAGATGGTGCTAAAAATTGAAAGAATGGGTCATGTCAAAATAACACAGGAACCAAACTTAAAAAGCTCTTGATGGCTGAAAGTTGAAGAAATTCGAGAAACAAAATAAGTAAAGTAGTACTGGGTTCTAGCCCAAAGTATAAAATAAATATGAGTCCATACTGATATAAATAAATATTTGGGTAAAAAATGAGGAAAAAAGATATGTTTCCCTATATAGAGAAAGTCTAAATAATTTATGTAGATACTTCTCTCTCTTCAGAGAGGCAGAAATTAACCGTACACTTCTTGAGAGTAGACCATACTTAGAAATTTTCTTGCAAACAGTACATCATGGAAAGGAGAGAAAAAAAGAATAACTATACAGTGGAGAAACTTGACAGAAGTACCTCATCCAGGCAATCAAGGTTAACATTAACAGTGGTTTGACATGTTGATTGCATGCAATCTTTCCATGATGTGATGAATATGAAATTTTTGTGGTCTTCCTACTAAATACCCATAAAACAAATATAATCATTTAAAAGAAAAACAGCCATTTTTCAATTGGGGGTTCTACAAAATATCTAATCAGTACTCTACTCCTAAAATGTGTCAAGGTAATCAGCAACAAGGTAAATCAGAGAATCTGTCAAAGTCTAGAGATGTCTAAGGAGACATGCCAACTAAATATAATATATTATCTTGGATGGGATTTTGTAACAGAAAAAGTACATTTGATAAAATGTCTGGAGGTTGGTTAATAATAATTTACTAATACTGGCTTCTTAGTTTTGAGAATATATACAATGGCTACGGTCTGAGTTACACCTCCACTTGTTACAGTTCATGATGTACAGAAAAAACTTTAAGCGAAACTTAATATATGTAAAGAGGTAGCTTTAGGCTAAACTTTGTTTAACAATTCCCGTATTTTGGTCATCTTCTCAATTTTGAGAGACTGACAAAACTTTAGTCATTTATGTTACTATCACTATCGTAAATGTATTTATTTAATCTTGAAACCCACTGGAAAATAGCAGAACAGCAGGTTTTGTAAGATGGAAACAGGCACATCAGTTTTCTTTTCTCTTTTTTTTTGTTGTTTTAAGGCTTAAAGTAGAGTTTACTCTTTCTGTTGGAATGAATGTCTTGTTTACAAGATAAAAATTAAAACCTGGTCTGTTCTAGGATCTATGCATTTCCTTAAAGTCTTAGTTAGATTATGTCACATTTAGCGTGAGCAACTCCATTTTGTTTTGTTCTGGTTTGTTGGAGCCTAGTGCATGAGCTGAGTAAAAAATAATGGCCTCCTATAATTTTGTTTAAAAATTTTCCCCTTTTGGTCAGGTTCTCACTTAGGTGAGAGTTTGACCAAAACTTAGGGCCCTAGCACCACTCTCAGTTACAATCATTTTGGGTTTCTAGTCTCAGAATTTTATTCATAGGTTATGTTGCCCTTATGGTCACACATTTCCTTCAGTTCTTGTCATTCCAGTTGAAGAGAGACCATTTGACATTCTAGAGATGGCAGTATGCAAATATTTACAATTTTTGCGAGAATACAGCACACCAGGGAGACTACGACTATGACTATTGGGAGTATAATACCAAGAGTTTGGAGCATGCTCCTTACCCAGGGTCCCCATAAAACAAACCAACTAAATCAATAGATCAAAGAATGAGCTAGATAAAGAATCTATTCACTAAACTAAGTCTCTTCACTAATCCCTACAACTGAATCTATAATACTTGATGTGATGTATTTCTCTATAGGACACAAGTGCCAGCAGCTGCACTGATACTTGTCTGTTTAGCCAGTAAGTAATCTAGAGAAATTCTAAGATTTAGCATAACTCTCACAAGAGAATTTAAAGTCTGTTGTGTAACCATAGCCTTTACAATAGTATCTGCTACAGAGCCTATCATGAGGGATACATTTCTAATCATTGCCTTTTTTACTCCAAATCATGGAAAAATTAAAACCTAGAACATCACTAATTATTAGGAAAATGCAAATCAAAACCACAATGTGATACCACCTCACTACTGCAAGAATGTCCCTAATCAAAAAATCAAAAAATAATAGATGTTGGCATGAATGCAGTGAAAAAGGAGCACTTTTTTACTGTTGGTGAGAATGTAAACTATTACAACTACTATGGAAAACAGTGTGGAGATTCCTTGAAAAACTAAAAGTAGATCTACCTTTTGATCAAGTAATTCCACTACTAGGTATCTACCTAGAGGAAAAGAAGTCATTATATGAAAAAGATGCTTGCACAAGCATGTTTATAGCAGCACAATTTGCAATTGCAAAAATATGGAACCAGCCCAAATGCCCATCAATGAGTGGATAAAGAAAATCTGATATATATATTTATATATTATTTATATATTTACATATTTATATATTTAAATTTACAGTAGTAATCTATAGTAGTATTCCATGGTGTGTATATATATACACCAGCCATAAAAAGGAACAAAATAATGGCATTTGCAGCAACCTGGATGGAATTGGAGACTACTATTCTAAATGAAGCAACTCAGGAATGGAAAACCAAACATCATATGTTCTCACTCATAATGTGGGAGCTAAGCTATGAGGATGCAAAGCTAAAAGAATGACACATTGGGCCAGGCGCAGTGGTTCACGCCTGTAATCCCAGCACTTTGGGAGGCCAAGGCAGGAGGATCACGAGGTCAGGAGATTGAGACCATCCTGGCTAACATGGTGAAACCCTGTCTCTACTAAAAATACAAAAAATTAGCTGGGCGTGGTGGCGGGCGCCTGTAGTCCCAGCTACTGGGAAGGCTGAGGCAAGAGAATGGCGTGAACCTGGGAGGCGGAGCTTGCAGTGAGCCACGATGGCGCCACTGCACTCCAGCCTGGGTGACAGTGTGAGACTCCGTCTGAAAAAAAAAAAAAAAAAAAAGAATGACACGTTGGATTTTGGGGACTTGTGGAAAAGGGTGTAGGGTGGCAAGGGATACAAGACTACATCTTGGGTACAGTTACACTGCTCAGGTGATGGGAGCACCAAAATTTCAGAAGTCAACACTAAATAACTTATTTATGCAACCAAACACCACCTGTTCCCCCAAAACCTACTGAAATAGAAAAATTAAAAATAAAAGAAAGATTCCATCTGCTTCTGTCAAGAAACTTCCCTGTTTAGCATTACCTTAAGGGTTCCAATGGGTGCACAGTGCCAAGAGTGTGGAGGGACCCTTCTCAGTAGTGAGATTATGAACCTAAGGTTCAAGGTTCTGAAGTTTTGCTGCAGTGTGAATGGCAAGGATAGTCATTCTCTAATGTTCTTAGAAGATCCAGTCTTCGGGTTCTAGATTGTGAAGAGTTGATTGTTTTAAGTCAGTGAACCATAAAAAGCTTTATTTACCTGGTGAAAATATACGGTGGCATAATAATCGACTGTTGTATGTATCAGCCCTCTTGCAAAGGAAAGCTTTTATACGAGAAAACATGCATTGAAAAGGACAATTGAATGAAATCCCTCTATAAATGTTTAAGTGGCTTACCAGGTAGCTGAACGTACCTGAAGTTTTTATTGTCTTCTCAGGAATATGGGTTTGACAAATCAAACATTGGTCATAAACTGTTTTAGCAATTTAGAAGTGACCACACCAATATATATTTCATTTGGATTATTTCATCTTTTCCATAATGAGTCATGGAATGCAGAACCTTTAATAACAAAAGCTTTAAGGACTCAGGAAAGACAACGTGGCTGTCTTGGTTCTCCATGAGTCCATGCTTAACATCGGACTTATATCTGCTTGAATACCAGTTGTTTTTCCAATTTAGGTGCATAGCACTTATAACTAATGGGTTTTCATTGGTAATTTGACTGAGACCATGGAGTTCATTCAGATTGTATATCTAAACAATTTCCATGTTGGTTGATTTAACTTAAAAATCTGGAAAATATTTTCTTGATATTCAATTAAATTTTGTTCTACTTGGATTAGCAATTTTATAAACCAGTCAGTCTTTTAATTAAAGTTCCAGGAATTCTTAAACAGTCCAAATGATATGACTCTAAAGTTTCCAGAAATCTGTATTCAAGAGTGCTTTTCAGGGTCCTTTGCATCCTCTCATGAACCTCCTAAAAGACATCATATTCTAGGATTTTGTGTGCTTGTGAATTTTTCAGAAACTACATCAGCATTAAGCAATTTACTGTGGAAATGACTACAAATAGTCATAGTTAAAAACACAATTGACAAGGAAATTTGGTTATTTCTGTGGTCTACAATAACTTAACCTAATAACCATAATTCTTAATTGATTGATAGTATATAGTCAGACATATTAGAATTTTAGAAATCTCATACAATTTTGAAACATATATTAATAACATTCACTAAAATATAACCCGAAAAACGTTAAACATCATTTATTTTGACAACAATTTCCATGTAACTTAACATGTCAAATCATCCTGTTTACCTCTCTTTTGGATGTTTCAGGGGCCCGCTGTAGCATCCCAAAGTTAGTGATCAGAAAAGACAATTTTGAAGCTGAAATTTTATTTGGGGCAGACTATCAAATATGTTAAAGGTCTAAAACACTTGAGAATTCCAGGTCACCAAAAGTCATTTATTTAGCCAAAATGATGACTCAAAGATTTTAAAAAGGCAAAAACCTTTACTCATTGATAAATGGAAGACTTAGATTTTCAGATAATCTGTCTCTTGTTTTTCCATTTTTTTCCTGTAGTTTACTCAAAAGGCAAACAAAATCTTTTATTATTTTTAGTATTACATGAAAATCTTATTCAAGACAGAAAGCCAAATTTCATCCTTGTATTAGTATACTATTGTCAACCCCAATTTTTAATAAAACCTTGTATACAAATCTATTCAATCTTAATCACTTTGATTATAAGGTGAGACTCTCATAAACCTTTTTATAACCCTTTACAAATTTTTGTTAAAGAGTAGATTAGTGCTCTGAGAAAATCCTGTTGTTCTTTGTTGTTGTTGTTGTTGTTGTTTTTAGACAGTCTCCCTCTGCCACCCAGGCTGGAGTGCACTGGCACAATCTTGGCTAAATACAACCTCTGTCTCCTGGGTTCAAGTGATTCTCCTGCCGCAGCCTCCCAAGTAACTGGGATTACAGTCATGCGTCATCATGCCCAGTTAATTTTTGTGTTTTTAGTAGAGATAGGGTTTCACCATGTTGGCCAGGCTAGTCTCAAACTTCTGACCTCAAGTGATCCACCCACCTGGGCCTCCTAAAGTGCTTGGATTTCCGGCATGAGTCACCACGACTTGTGCCCCTGTTGTGCTTTTATTCCAATGTTCAATTTATGGAAAAACCAAATGTTACTCCTTTAAATAGCCAATATTGTCATTCACAGAATTTCTTTTTACAAGATTAATTTTTTACAAACCTTCAACAACTTGCTCAAACATTTAGCTTTATTCTATCTTACTAGGCAAAAATTTACATTCCAGGGCCTTCTTATGATCTTTTACTAAAAGCACATTTCACTTTCTTCACATACCTTGCATGTAAAACTGTTTTTTCAGTAGTCTTGATTTCATGTTACAATGTTAACTCTTAGCAATTTTTATTTGTGGTAAAAAAAACCTGGTAAGTTATTTTATTGGAGTAACGAGCTGTTAGAAGTTATTTTATTTCCTCTCATGTGTGCATCAACAGTGGCAAGAAGACAAAATGGAGAAAAGCTATCCAGTTGACTGAAAAAAAAAAAAAAACAAGATCTATGAAGAGAATAAAATCATAAAGGCCTTTCAAATGTATGTGTAGCTTGGTGATCCACTTTTAATTAAGCTGACTTTTAGCCATAGCCCTCTTTTTTAAAAGTCCTTTTAAATTTCTTGTTACCCTACTTTAGCCCGCCCAGATTGCCAATATTTCTGGCTTTTAAACTTTACAAAAGCAACATCACGGGTGAATTCAACAAGCCTTAACTAAGGTTATGACCTAACCATGAGTGTATGAGGTATTTTGAAAGAGGTGGTTAGCAGATTTTATAAGATCTAGAATCTCCAAAGATAGCTCAGAGAAAGGAAGATTCAAGAAGGGAAGATAGAGGTTGTTCATGGAGGGGCTGAAAATCAACAAAGGGCCAAAGTTACACAGATATCTAACCAGAAAGTACTCATTCTCTAAGCCGGGAATTGAACCCTGAACCTGGGTTGTCATGGTGAAAAGACAAAGCCTTAGCCACAAAGCTACATCATTGACAGTTTCCATTGCTCTTCCCAGAAGTAGTCTAGAGTAGCCAATTTTGATCTTGCAAAGGCTTTTAACTTCTTGAAATAATGTTTAGAGCTAACTATGACATGAACCCTAAAATTCTTGTTCCCTGGATGGCAGAGATAGAGAGAAAGTACTGCCACATGGTTACAAAGTCAAGCCCCCAAGGACATAAAACAAGACAAGATGGAGACCTCATTCAGTTTCTTTGTTAGTTTCGGGGAACTGAAGCAAAATTTGTCACTGACCAGCTTGCTGGGCCATCTTAAATAACAAGCTAATGTGGTCCTAAGCCCATGTTCTATCCCAAGTACCCCTCTTCATGACAGAACAACACAGAAAGACAAATTCATAGCACAAAGTACACCAGATTTGCTACAGCTTAAGACTAGCCTAATGAATCCTTTTTCTTATTAATTAAAAATGTGCAAGAGATAGGGATTTTTACCATTCCCACTACTGGTTTGCAGAGAGAGAGAGAAGCATTGCCTGCAGCAGGGTAGAGAAGGTGAGGTGCTCAGGAAGGTCAGAGAAAGACCCACCCATTGCAGCAATACTTAACCAAAAATTCAGGTAGCTGCTTGCTGGTCACAAAGGGATCATTTTCAGCAGTCCCATTAGCTCTCATGTTTCCCCGTTTGGGCAGCAAAAGTTCCCCATGTTCCATGGTCCTGTACATGCCTAATCCTGTTAACCACAGCAGCCATCAGAAAAGAGTGCAAGGCAGATTTAATTTTTTAAAAATGAATTAGTTGCTTAAGCTTTTTATTTTCCTTTCATAAAGTTTTAAGATAAAAATATTAGAATCTTTTTAGGAGCTCCTGCATATCGATAGGCATCCCTAGATGAGACTAATTTGGGAGTGCCTATTTTCAAATGCACTTCAGTGCTGTGTTGTTAATTTGGAACGTTCCACTGTAAATGATCTTTATTAAGATTTTGTCATTTCTGTAAGACTTTGCTCCTTCCAGAGCCTAACACTTGTCCATGTATAAGCCGAAAGAAGCTCAGTTCTTCAGAAATTAAGGATCCCATTTTTACCTAAAATACTGGCTTTGCTCTCAGGTTCCGTTGATCAACTTAGCCAGCAATTTTTTCCAACCTAAGCATGCATGAAAAGTGAAACAAAAGGGTAGAACACAAAAATCCCTGCGAATTTCCAAAAGCCAAATTTTATACCCCCTGCAATATTACTATTTACTACCTGTTTCTTTCTGACCCAGTCAGATGTAAAAGGCCTCTAACTGGATCCAAGCCAGTTAGTTACCGGATCTAATCTAATCAAGGACCCAGTTCAGTTTCTGTCGTGACTGCTGGACCCAGTTTGGATCAGAAAATTGTTCAAAGAAACTTGGAGAGCTTAAAACAAAAATTCATGGAGCTTTGGAATCCAAGAGAGAACTTACCACAATCCCCAGCTGCTCTGAGAGCTCGAGCGATGGGCACAACAGGTGGTTGAGTACATTGCTTTGTCACTCAGCGCTCCTGGGGGTCGTTAGAAGCTCTACTTTGGATCTCACTTCTGATGCCATCTGTTAAAAGAAAAACTTCAGCCAAATTAAATTTAAAGAAGTTTAATTGCGCAATGGATGATTCACGAATTAGGCAGCCTCCTGAGCTAGAGCAGGCACTGGGACTCCAGCACAGAGACATAGTGGAAGATGATTTATGGACAGAAAAAGGAAAGTGACATACAGTAAATGGAAGTAAGGTACAGAAACAGCTGAATTGGTTACAGCTTGGCATTTGACTTATTTGAACATGGTTTGAACAGTTGGCTACATTTGATTGGCCAAAACTAGGTGATTGGCACAAGTATAGGCTGTCGTCTGGGTTATACCTCCACTTGTTATAGTTCACGATGTACAGAAAAACCTTTAGGCTGAACTTAAAATATGTAAGGAGGCAGCTTTAGGCTAAACTTTATTTAACACCTCTAAATCAAGCAATCAAAATAATAGAAATCTGAGTTCATGATTTATATTTATGTGCACACAAAAAATAAACGATTTTGTTTATCATAAGGCTTGTTCGTCCAGGAGGTAAAAGGAAGAATAACAATCAAATGGTTGAAGATTTTATGACCTGAATACTTGAATTCTAAAGCCAGGAAAATTTGCCTGTAGTTCCGTTCAATATACCTCAACACAGACACAAGTTTGTTTTTAAAAGAAGCTCATTGAGTTGCAAAGAAAAGACTCACTCAAGCTGGTTCAGATAAAGAAAAGCTTGTTGTGATGGGCAGGCAGAACAAAATAATTTACAGACTGTCATTTATTCTGAGAATTGCAGAAAGATTATCTGGTTTTAATGCTTTGTAGGAGAGCTCTAAAGCAGGAATATGGTTGCAAATAAAAATTCAGGATCAAAATTGCTTAGAGCTAATTGTAGCCTCCATAATTCATTAGGAGTATGATTTTAGGCAAATTACCTAAAGCCTCGGTATTTTTTTTAATTTTCAAAAGGGAAATAATACTAACAACCTTGTAGAGATTTTGTGAAAAATCAATGAAATCATATTACTAGTTTTCATGGTAGATTTAGTATCTGGTAAATGCTAACTATCATTATTAAAATTATGTATGTCTGTCTCTTGCAGCACCACTGCAGAATGCCAAAATATTTTTATACCTCTAGTTTTAATTAACAATTTTAATTTATATTTATCATAGCTATTAGGAGCAGCTCTTTACATCAGGATATGTGATTGTCTGCTGTAGCCTGTAAATGACTTACCCTTGGATACAGTTAGTTAGCTGCAGTTAAGAGACTGGAATCACATGGTACAAAAATCGACTGCCTAAGTGTCAGAGGCATGTGAACAAGAGCAACTACATCTTAATTAGGTACTGGGTAAAATGAGGCTAAGACCTACTGGGCTGCATTCCCAGACAGTTAAGGCATTGTAAGTCACAGGATGAGATAGGAGGTCAGCACAAGATACAGGTCATAAAGACCATGCTGATAAAACATTGCAGTAAAGTAGCTGGCTAAAACTCAAAAAAACCAAGATGGCCAGGAGAGTTACCTCTGGTCATCCTCTGCTACACTACCACCAGCGCCATGACAGTTTACAAATACCATGGCAATGTCAGGAAGTTACCCTGTATGGTCTAAAAGGGGAGATAGGAATAATCCAACACTTGTTTAAAATATAATCAAAAAATAACCATAAAAATGGGCAAACATTAGCCCTCAGAGCTGTTCTGTCTGTAGAGTAGCCATTCATTATTGTTTTACTTCCCTAATAAACTTGCTTTTACTTTACTCTATGGACTCTCCCTGAATTGTTTCTTGCAGGAAATCCAAAAACCCTCTCTTGGGGCCTGGATCGGGACCCCTTTTCCTTAACACAAGCAACAGGGGCTTAAGACTGTGGGATTTCCATAAAAAAAAGTGATGGGAGTTAAACAATGTGTGCACATGAACACAGAGTGTGGAATGATAGAAACTTGATCCTTAGAATGGTGGGAGGGTGAGAGGTGGTTTAGGGGTGAAAAAAATCACTTAATGGATGTAATGTACATTATTCCAGTGATGGAGACACCAAAAGCTCAGGCGTCACCACTGTGCAATATACCCATGTAACAAAATTGCACTTGTACTGCATAAATCTATACAAATATAAAAAACAAGAAATGTGGACATGGCAAGAAATAATTGATGGCATTATCCAATGCAATTACTTTCTCCCGTGATGGAAATGTATAATTTTCAAACATTAAAAACAACAATAAAGAAGAAAATAGCTTGAGAACAATGAGTTAATAAAATACATAATCTTTTGAGAAGCAGTGAATAGATTAAGGAGTTGCATGAATCAGAGAGATTTTGCTATTGTTTTTATAAAGGGTTAGTGAAGCCTGAAGATATATTGCTGAGTGTCTTTAGTGGCAAACCAAAATATTCAAATAAAGGCATTCCATTAATCATTTAATTCAATTCTAATTGCTCATGAATAATTTCCTCTCAGTTTTTGTCGTTGTTATTCACCAGCAAGTGAAAAGCTGATATTGAATTGAGTGATAGTCAACATTATTGTGATTTTTTCTTTTTATAAAGTAACCAGTTACCTTTCTCAATTCTTGCTTCACTTTCATGGGTAGATAAAATTTGAACAGATTCTTACCTTCTCTTTGTATTGCATACAGCATTTCTGAATCTCACTGTTCATGAATATGAGGACTAAACTCTGTTTTTTTTTTTTTTAATCTTGCCCAAATTCCTATTTAAGGGGTCTAGGGAGTCATGCCCTACAAACCATAAACCACAAATTCTCATCAGATGGGTTTTATTTGACCCTGTATATTGTGACTTACTTTCCAATCTGACTCTGGCATAATATTATGAGACAAGGAAAAAAATCAAAATATTTCACTCCAAAATATATTTCCTTGCCATACCTTGAAATTGCCCTGCAAATTATCTTGTGGGAAAAATCCACATTCTATAGAAAATCCCCTTTCCCCTTTGTTTTCCTTCCTTCCTTTCCAGATCCAGGAGATAATCAACTAAGACCTAGGCACCATTTTAGGTCCAATAAGAAATATTTTACAACCTGCTTTCTCTAAACTCTGCTATCTGAGAGCTTCCTCTGCACAATAAAACTTGATCTCCACAATCCTTTATGCTAACCTGAACATTTCCTTTCTATTGATCCCAGTTCTTCAGATAAACTCAACCGATTGTCAACCAGAAAATGTCTAAATTTTCCTATAGCCTGGAAGCCCCTGATTTCAGTTGTCATGCCTTTCTAAACCAAACCAATGCATTTCTTAAATGTATTTGATTAATGTCTTATGCCTCCCTAAAATATACAAAACCAAGCTGTGCCCCGACCACCTTGGGCACATGTTCTCAGGGCCTCCTGAGGGCTGTGTCATGGGCCATGGTCACTCATATTTGGCTCACAATAAATCTCTTCAAATATTTTACAGAGTTTGACTCTTTTCATCAACAAATACATAAATGGCTGTCCATAGGGAGTCTAACCAATGTTGAAAATTAAGTAAAATTTGTTAAATTGGATATTTAAAGGAAATAGGCAAAGAAACTAAAACCAACCAGAGTGGAAAAACAATAATGCAAGTGTTATGTTTGTAGTTTTAGCCTGGTAAATATAAGCAATAGGTCATGTTGTTCCAAAGATACGGGATTATTGTCTGAAGAAAATGTTTAAATAAGGAGGAAGAAACAAAATAAACATATTTTTCAAAATATCTATCAGTCAGAATAGAAGTAAAGAAAGCTCCCTTTCCAATCTGCTCAGAATGCAAAAATTACAGGATGCAAAATACATCACAGATAGTTGTACTTCCAGTATGTCCCAGACAGTAAACACTATGTATTTCCAATAATTTTATTTTATTTTTCTGGGGCAGAGGGAAAGTTAAAAGGTGATAGATGAAGAAAAAATGATATTTCACAAATACATTGAGTTTAGAATATGGATCCATAATAAACATATACCTTGTTTGCTTACAAAATCCACTGACAGTTTTTAGAATAAGGATAATAGATCAGAGCATCCAGTAACCAAAAACTGTTATCTGTGACAAACACAATACGCAGAAATTAGCATCTTCAGATTATTGAACCAAAGGTTTTGTAACCTATTTTTTATTTCAGAATTCCGGTGGTTTGTCTGCTTTATTAGTTAAATAATAATTTACTCATTTTTTATATACTTTTATAATAGATTTTGAATTAGTTTGCATTTGCAAAGCAACCCCATGGTAGCTCAACAGCAAAAGTCTTTCACTTAATATAAACTGTACATTTGATTTCCAAAAAGTTGAAATAATGAGTCATTTTCCCCTTTGTGATAAGTAATTTATTACAACCACAGTGATTATTACAGCATTCCATTAATTAGAATTTTACTAACACCAAGTCCTGCCTAATTGCTCTTAGTTTTTTCCTCATGAAAGCACTTTTACTTTTATTATTGTAATTAAGAAGGTGAGGCAAAATTAAAAGCATTTCTGTTATTTCACAAAATTGGATTAACAAGGTGAATATTTCACAATATGACAAATGTGCATAGTATGCTACTTGTCAAAGTCATTCTTAATAATTTACTCTGCCGTCTGTGTTTTATAAATTCTATTTCCCTTTGAACTATTTTTGTGGTTTTTCTTTTAATTTTACTTTTATGTTTAATTGATAGGGCTTCCTTCAGCCGTTATTAGAAGTCTCTTCAATGCTGTTCACTTCTTATAATTGTTTTATTATTTAAACATGCTGCAATTCAAAATGCCATTCTTTAGTGTCTCTTAATTAGTTCATTCTACTTACATTAACCCTTTGGTCTGCTTTCATTGGATTTTTGCTCTGACTTTGTACTCTGCCCATTCATGTCAAAAACAGCCTGTTTCAATTCACCTATTTTTTTTTTTTTACTTTGTCATTGCCATGATTTAGAAAGTGCCATTTCTTTATGATAATAAACACTAAAGCATGAATCACTGAATCATAGAAATTATGAGTATATGTTTCTAGAAAAGGGTTACTTTGAATAAGAAATGGAAAAAGAGGAGGGAGTATTTCCCTACTAGATATACTTTTAAGCAACCTATATCTCCATAAATGAACAGATCAGCATAATGTGAAGAATAGTAAAAGAGTAAAACAATAAGGTTTCATGAAAATTTTGTGTAAAATGAGCTACTGAATTAATAAAAATGAAGTTAAAATTAGTGCTCAGTTTGACAAAAAAAATGCTTTCATTTGGTTTAAAACAGCAAGAGAAATTTCTGTTTCAGCCAAGAAAGTGTTAGCTGCTTGATACAACCAACCAGATCCATTACTTTAGAGTGAAACTGCAGAGAAGTATTCTGAATATGTGTGTATACTTGGTCAAAGGCACAGGACCTTTTATATAGATTTTTAGAGGATATTATGAGTTTCAAAGGCATTACTACTACATAAGAATTTCTAATAATCCTCATATTATTCAAGATATTTACATGTATACACAGTACTTTAAACATAGATCCGTAGTGTCAGAATTTCACTAAGCCTGGATTTTACCCTAAAGAGAAAGGGCTTTGAGTCTGAATAAAAAATTTGATGTTTAAGAATATTTACCTCTTAATTTTCTCTGCAACCTCAAGTTTCTGGCAGATGAAAACATTTCTAGCTTGTCTCTCTGTCACATTTGCCTTAAGAGGCTGCTATATTTAAATGTAAATTTTCATATTCAAGATTAACCTAGTAAGCATATTATTTGAAATAATAGAACTCAAAACTAAGTGTACATATATGTATATGTCTGCATATTTATATTTTTTAACCCTGAAGATACTTTAGAAATTGAGCAGTAATTTTTATTAACACATTTTTAAAGATTTTTAATAAAAGGATTGATATTTTTATTTTTACTAATTTATAGAGTTCCTAAACAAGCAAAGTTAGTGTTGATTTCTTACAATACTATAATCGACATTATGCTATTCTGTTTAAGAATTGTTATTTTTGGTTATTGTAGGTTTGTGTGATGTTAGTATTAAAAATGTCAAAGACAAATTCATATGGCTATCAATCAGAGATCATTGATCTACGAATGATGATTTGAATTGCCACCCTCTTAAGAAATCTTGTATTTCTGGCAGTGACAAATCTAAAACTCAAAACATATTTATATACACAAAGGAAATTTTAGAAGAATACTCCAAGTTACTGTAAAGAATGGAGTGTTATTCACTTACAATCACCTTTACTCCTTTCTCTCTGTCATATATATTTTTTCCTGCTAAAAAACTTTATGAGCACAGTCCATATTTCAAATACACTCTAACTATACTACTACCCTTCGTAGCAAAAATCCTAGAATAATTTTGTATTTTTTTTCTTTAAATCACTGCTTATTCTCAACTAGGTTTTCACCCATACCTCTCCTAAGAGACTTATCTTTGCAAGATTATCAATAATGTACATTTGCCAAAGTCAGTGGTGAATCCATTTTCTTCTTATTTATCCTCTTTAGATACAACTGAACATTCTCTCATTACAGAAACATGTTTGTTCTCTAGGCTCTTGTAATGTTTTATTCTTCTCCTATATCTCCTGCTATTTAAATGTTGAATTCAAATGAGCTTTCTTCAGTTTTCTTTTGTTTTCAATATATAGTTTTGTCTAAGTAATTTTATCTAGTGCCATAGTTTTAACATCAGTATTCAACCACCGACTAAATATTTCAAATGGGATCTCAAATAGTGATTTCCAACTTATATATGTGTGTGTGTGTGTGTGTGTGTGTGTGTGTGTGTGTGTGCATACATATACTATTCTGACCCAATCTGCTTCTTCCTAGGCTTCCCCATTTCAATAAATAGTACCTATTTGTTCAGGCCCAGAACCAAGAAATATCTTTGATTCCTCTCTTTCCTGATATTCAAGCCCATTCTATTTACACATTCTGTAGCCTGTACTTCTAAGAAACGAAAAAATCTAAACATTTCTTTAAAATTCGACTACTACTACTGGAGTGGGAGGTTGAGGGGGAAGTAGGGATGGTTAATGGGTACAAAAACTAGTTAGAAAAATGAATAAGACCTTCTATTTGATAGTACCACAGCATGACTATAGTCAATAATAACTTAATTGTACATTTTAAAATAACTAAAAGAGTGTAATTGGATTGTTTGCAACTCAAAGGATAAATGCTTGAGGAGATGGACACCCCATTCTCCATGATGTGTTTATTTCACATTGCATGCCTGTATCAAAACCTCTCATGTACCCCATAAATATATATATAGCTACTATGTACCCACAAAAGTAATTAAAGAAATTCTATTACTACTTTGTTAAAAACACCATCTTATCTTGTCTGGATTATGATGGGAAACAAACAAACAAAATTCCTAACTTGTCTCTCTGCCTTTATTCTAGTCAGAATTTGTTCAAAACAATAAGCAAAATAAGCGTTTTTAAGAGTATATAAAATTGCATCACACTCTTGCTTAAACTTTAGTGGCTTCCCATAGTACAAATAATATTAACCAAAACAACTTATCATGGCCTTTAAAACCCGCTGACTATCGCCCCTTCTTCACCTCCTTCCATTCTTGCCACCTACCACTATATTCAGCCTCACTGGGCTTTTTCTGCCCCTTGTATACTCCAAGTCTAATCTCATATCAAGTAATGTATTACTATGCCTTCTTGGAACAGCCTTATCCTAGATCTTTGCTTGGCTGCTTCCTTTTCATGATTCAAGTCTCAATTAAATATCTCCTTCTCAGATACACTTTCCATAGATACCATATTTAAATCAGTTAAATAGCCATCATTTTCCACGGCTACTATATTTAATCAGTAGGTCATCAGCTACTATATTTAATCAGTAGCCATCACTTTTCATGGCTACTATATTTAAAATAGTGTCATGCTTTTACTTTATTAAATGATATTTTTCATTGAATTAATCATTGACTGAATTTTTTTTTACTTATTTGTTCATGTGTATATACGGCACGGTCTCACTCTCTCTCTCTATTTTCATTGACAGCTAAGTCCTCAGCATGTAAACTAAGGCATGAAAATCATTAGCAGTTCAAAAGATATTTATTGACTAATTTATGTGAAGCTCCCTTTTATTTTGTATTTACCCATACAAGGGCCGTATTAGGTATCCAGAAATATATTTGGCAATATAATCCAATTAATTTTGCATGTGATAATAGTCACAAATTAGTCACTTGAGTTTCACATGTTACTCTTGTGACTAGGAAGCAATTTTGTCACTATTTTTTTAGGATTTAGAAATTGTTTTATCGCTGAAATTTTTTGGTGTTATCCCTTGCATAAGGATTCTTTTCAAAGTATTATTGTAAGATTAGTTAGCTGCTCCAGCAGTTAAAAGGAAAAGAAGAAAACACAATAGAAAAGGAAAATTAAAACTCATCTTTCATAGATGAAAAAGCTAAGATTTCTGAACAGTATCTTAATTCTAGTCTTAGGTCAAATAATAAAATAAAGTACTACACTAAATTATAATACCGATCATTTTATTGACTACAATGTTGAACAGATCTCAATATGAACTTCCAGTGCCTCTTGTATAAGATCATTCATTTTCATTTATTTACTGGGCTCTGTGACCTTCATAAAGTATTAAATGTTACTAAATGCAATCAGTGAAATGACTTGTGGTTCTTTCCATGCAGTTATAAAAACAGGAACCAGAATTATCAGTGATTAGTTCCATGTCTATCTGTATCATTTTATTCATTATGTACTTTTTTCTTCTGTCATTATTATCAACTATTTCTTTTTACTACATGAAAATACTAAACTCAAGCTTATTACATTTAAACTGTAATTTTTTTCTGAGATTGTTTTCATTAGTAATTATAATTGATCTTTACAAATTAATTTTTCTGAAAATAATAGGGGTAGAAATTTGAAAATCACTAAGAAAAAATGATAGTAGTTGAGAAGTAGTATTTCAATGACTGTGTAACTTTGGAAACAAAATACAACCTTATCAGTTAGGAGCTATATTCGCAATGGCACAACTCATGAGGTGTGATGAACTGTTAATTAGATTCAAGTTGCATAAATATCCACACAACTGAGTGCAAAACTCCATGATGATATGTAGCATTGGTTTTATAATTGTGAGACGACTGGAGACAGGAATGGTCTGAGATAAGTAAGCTAATATGCCTTGAGATTGCCTCTGTATCGATTTTCACTCATCTCTAACAGCCGTTTTTCTAGTTTACATCTAAACAGGAATGTTTGTAATCTACATGTTTAAGCTAAAGACTTGCCTTAAAAATCTTCCTGTCTGTACTGACAGTACACACAGATCTAACAGAACTGTCAATTTAATGTTAATGCTTTGTTTGACAGGTGGCTAGAATCCTTAAATTTTACTTCATGCTGAATAAGTGAAAGAGAGTAATGCATGAAAATCAGGCATGTGTCTTCTATTATTAAGTTATAAAAATGAAACACTCTATTTCCCAAAAAGTAAAAATATTTACAAAATAGTACATATTTTTTAGAGATTTTTTGCCATCACAATAAAATCTGTTATGACCATTTGCCTCTCTCTGTTCTGCTGTTCTATTTAATTTCAAAGTTACATATGACATATTTTCTTCAATTTCATATTACTCCTGCCTATAATATCATCAATTTCATGTACTTGCTTACCTTCTTTAGTCTACGTTCAGCTTTGGATCAGCTAAACAAGATTCCAGTAAATGTCTTTCTGTGCTAACACAACACTACAGACTGTGGATACAAACAGGACTAAAAAAAATTTGCTGCCCTTCAGAGATTCACATTCTTTAAGGAACACCAGGCAAGCAACAATTAAGGAACACCAGGCAAGCAACAAATAAATAAAGTGCACTGTGATTCATATGATAATTTACTAATTTTCAAGATACAGAAATGAGAGAAAGGTAATTAATTGTGATGGGAAAGGGGAGGCACAGGAAGGTTTTACATAGGATTTGGAACCTTATTTGAATTTTGAAGACAGAATGGGTGTTTTCTTAGCAGAGGAAAGATGAAGGGAATTTCAATCCTAGAGATTTCCAAGTGAAAAGGCAATGAAGGTAAGAATAACAGGAGTGCTTAAGGCAAAACAATGACCTTGCATTCTCTTAAATGGAAAATGTGAATACAAGAGCAGCAGGAGAAAATACTGAAGAATTCATCAGACTTTGAAAGCTTTTTCCTGACATCCTTAGGCACTTGAAATATTTAAGAATGGTGTTATTATTTTCCCTACGAATTGCTTCTTTATCATTGTCTTGCTCTTGAGTTTAGGTATTTTATATACATACATATACATAAAAGGAATCTATTTCCTTTTATTAACCTTCTACAGGTTATTAATTAAAAAACTACAGTTAAACACAGTTTCTGCCTTTCGTCAAAGTATTGGTAATGTCATATTCATTCACCAAATTTCAAATTTTTTAAACACAAAATTTCTTTTTATTTATTAATAATACTAAAAAATTAACTGCAGGAAATAAGAATAAAAGTGGCTCTAAATAAAACTTTCTACTACCTTCTTCTCCACTGTGACTGTCATCCTAAGGAACAAACAGAAGAAAGCCTTTTCCAATTCTAAGACTAGGCACTGAATCCTTGATGTGATAGTTTAATCAACATACCACTATATTATATTTCCATTCCTCCCTTTTATATTACATGTAAAGTATCTCACTAAAAAAGTAAAGTCCTGAAAGGACACAGAAAATTTCTGGATGTTTTCAATGTGTGTTGTTGATTCCTAATTATGGTGATTAGAAATATTGCCAAACTTTTTAGGTATTGACCTCCAATTTTCCACTCTCAATTCTCCACATTAAAAGAGCCTATTGTAGATAATTAGGTAATTGGCAATTAGGCACACAGTTATTGTACTCAGGTGATTATCTAAAAGAGAATTAGGCATGCAATGGATATATTTTGGCACAAATATTGAGTTTGTGTAAGCAAATGTCTTTACAGAATGCATGGATTGTTGTTAATCACAAATCTTAAGATCAAATTGAGTTTGTATCTGCTGGTGAATTAATAGATTTAGTCATGGGCCAATGTGTGCTAATATCATAGAAAGAAAGGCAACTAATCAGGCTTGTCACAATGGCTCATGCCTGTAATTTCAGCACTTTGGGAGGTCAAGGCAGGAGGATCTCTTGAGCCCAGGAGTTCAAGACTAGCTTGGGTAACATAGTGAGATCTTGTCTATACAAAAAATTAAAAATTAGCCAGGAGTAGTGGCACATGCATGTCATCCCAACTACTGGGGAGGCTGAGGTGGAAGGATTGCTTGAGCCCAGGAGGTTGAGGCTGCAGTGAGCTGTGATCACACCTCTGCCCTCTAGCTCGAGTGACAGAGTGAGACCTTGTCTCAAAAAGAAGAAAGAAAAAGGAAGGAAGGAAGGAAGGGAAAGAGAGAGAGAGAAAGAAAGAAAGAAAAGAAAGAAAGGAAAAGAAAAGAGAAGAAGAAAAGAAAAGGAAAAGGAAAAGAAAAGAAAAGAAAGAAGAAAGAAAGAAAGAAAGAAAGAAAGAAAGAAAGAAAGAAAGAAAGAAAGAAAGAAAGAAAGAAAATGAACAACTAACAAGACACCAGTGCCTTTATATGACAATAAAATCTATGGGGTAATTTTTTTCCCTCCCCTCCCCTGCCTACCCCAAATCAAAATTTTTAAATCTGATCAAGCCTCTGGGTCCAACTATCCATTTACAGGAACTAAAGGACAGAGGAACATAATAAACACCACCACAGAGATGTAATCAGACCATGGGAATCTATACCACAAACATAATATATATTCTTTTTTTTTTTTTTTTTTTTGAGATGGGGTCTTGCTCTGTCAACCAGGCTGTAATGCAATGGCAGAATCTTGGCTCCCTGCAAACTTGAACTCCTGTACTCAAGCAATCTTCCCACTCCAGCTTCCCGAGTAGCTGGGACTACAGGTGTGCACCACCACACCCAGCTAATTTTTTAATTTTTTGTAGAAACAGTGTCTCACTATGTTGCCCAGGCTGGTGATCTATATTTTTTACAAAGTGTCATGAAAAAATATTAATGGAGAACCTGTGGATTAAAAGAGGCTTAAGAGACATATGCATTGCAACTACATTATTTTGATATTTTGACCATTACTCAAAATACATTCACTGAAGTGTGTGTGTGTGCATGCGTGTGTGTGTGTGTGTCTGTGTGTGGTGAGGAAGAGAGAGAGAAATTGGCTGGGCGTGGTGGCTCACGCCTGTAATCCCAGCACTTTGGGAGGCTGAGGCAGGCAGATCATGAGGTCAGGAGATTGAGACCATCCTGGCTAACACGGTGAAACCCCGTCTCTACTAAAAATACAAAAAAATTAGCCAAGCATGGTGGCGGGTGCCTGTAGTCCCAGCTACCTGGGAGGCTGAGGCAGGAGAATGGCGTGAACTGAGGAGGCAGAGCTTGCAGTAAGCCAAGATCGCGCCACTGCACTCCAGCCAGGGTGACAGAGTGAGACTCCATCTCAAAAAAAAAAAAAAAAGAGAGAAATTTTGGGGACAGTGGAAATTTGAACACTGACTAGATAATTAATGAAAAGGAAATATTGTTAGTTTTTAGGTGTGATAATAGCATTGTGTTATGATTTTTTAAAGATTCCTTCCTTTTTTTAACTTTTTGTCTTGAAATAATTACAGATGCATAGGAAGTTGCTAAAACAGTAAAGTTTCCATGTATCCTTAAGTTTCACTGAATGTTAGCATTATAAATAACTGTAGTAAATTATTAAATCCAGGAAATTGAAATTGGTACAATCACCAGCCTTATTCAGATGTCATCAGTTTTATATGCATTTGTGTGTATGGGTGTGTATTTAGTTCATGTAATTTTAGCATATGTGTAGATTTGTATGACCACAACCACAATCCAGATGAAGAAGTGTTTCAACACCTCAAGGATCCCTGCTACTGCTCTTTTATTGTATTTGTAGTTATTTAATTATTTATTTAGAGTCAGGATCTCACTCTGTCTCTCAGGCTGGAGTGCAGTGGTGCTATTACGGCTCACTGCAGCCTCAACCTCTGGGCCCAAGAAATCCTTCCATCTCAATCTCCAAAAGTGCTGGGATTATAGGTGTGAGATACCATACTCAGCCCACCCTTTTATAATAACAGCCACCTCCCTTCTTCCCCTCTTTTTAATATTAGGCAATGAAAAACCTACCTTTATGATTTTGTAATTTAAAGTATCTATATATATATTAATTAATACCTTATGTAAGCCTTTTGGATTAAGGTATTCCCTCAGCATAATTCCCTAAAGATTCATTCAAGTTGTATATACAAACAGTTCATTTCTTTGTATTGCTGGGTAGTATTTCATGGTATGGATGCACCACAATTTATTTAATTATTTACCCATTGAATGAAATATGGGTTCTTTTGCATCTTTTGATTTTTATGAATAAAGATGCTTTAAATATTCCCATGTAGGTTTTTGTGTAAATATAAATTTTAATTTATTTGTGAAAAATTGCCAAGAGTGTAGTTGTTGGGTCATATGAAAGTTCCACATTTAGCTTTAAAGGTTACTGCAAAAATGTTTTCAAACAAAATGTAACATTATACATTCCTACCAGCAATGTATAAATGATCCAGTTTCTCTGCACCCTCACACACATTTGAGATGGTCATTGTATTTTATTTTCGGCATCCTAATAGGCGCATAGTGATAGCTCAATGTGGTTTTAATTTCCATTTCCCCGATGGCTAATGGTTTTGAACATCTTTACACATAATTAATGTGACATATGTATATTCTCTTGGGTGAAATGTATTTATGTCTTTTGCTCATTTGCTAATTGTTTTGTTTTTATTATTAACTTTTTTTATTGTTATACTTTAAGTTCTGGGATACATGTACAGAATGTGCAGGTTTGTTACATAGATATACACGTGCCATGGTGGTTTGCTGCACCCATCAACTCATCATCTACATTAGATATTTCTCCTAATGCTATCCCTCCCCTAGTCCCCCACCCCTAGACAGGCCCTGGTGTGTGATGTTCCCCTCCCTGTGTCCATGTGTTCTCAGTGCTTAACTCCCAATTATGAGTGAGAACATTCAGTGTTTGGTTTTCTGTTCCTATGTTAGTTTGCTGAGACTGATGGTTTCCAGCTCCATCCACATCCCTGCAAAGGACATAAACTCATCCTTTGTTATGGCTGCATAGTATTCCATGTTGTATATGTGCCACATTTTCTTTATCCAGTATATCATTGATGGGCATTTGGGTTGGTTCTAAGTCTTTGCTATTGTGAACAGTGCTGCAATAAACATGTGTGTGCATGTGTCTTTATAGTAGAATGATTTATGATCCTTTGGGTATATACGCAGTAATGGGATGGCTGGGTCAAATGGTATTTCTGGTTCTAGATCCTTGAGGAATCGCCACGCTGTCTTCCACAATGGTTGAACTAATTTAGACTCCCACCAACAGTATAAAAGAGTTCCTATTTGTCCACATCCTCTCCAGCATCTGTTGTTTCCTGACTTTATAATGATTACCATTCTAACTGGTGTGAGATGGTTTTGGTTTGCATTTCTCTAATGACCAGTAATGATGAGCTTTTTTTCATATGTTTGTTGGCTGCATAAATGTCTTCTTTTGAGAAGTATCTGTTCATATCCTTGGCCCACTTTTTGATGGGGTTGTTTGTTTTTCTCTTGTAAATTTGTTTAAGTTCTTTGTAGATTCTAGATATTAGCCCTTTGTCAGATGAATAGATTGCAAACCTTTTCTCCCATTCTGTAGGTTGCCTGTTCATTCTGATGATAGTTTCTTTTGCTGTACAGAAGCTCTTTAGTTTAATTAGATCCCATTTGTCAATTTTGGCTTTTGTTGCCGTTGCTTTTGGTGTTTTAGTGGTAAAGTCTATGCCCATGCCTATGTCCTGTATGGTATAGCATAGGTTTTCTTCTAGGGTTTTTATGGTTTTTGGTCTGACATTTAAGTCTTTATTCCACCTGGAGTTAATTTTTGTATAAGGTGTAAGCAAGGAGTCCAGTTTCAGTTTTCTGCATATGGCTAGCCAGTTTTCCCAACACTATTAAATAGGGAATCCTTTCTCCATTGCTTGTTTTTGTCTGGTTTGTCAAAGATCAGATTGTTGTATATGTGTGGGGTTATTTCTGAGGCCTCTGTTCTATTCCATTGGTCTATATATCTGTTTTGGTACCAGTAGCATGCTGTTTTGGTTACTATAGCTTTGTAGTATAGTTTGAAGTCAGGTAGCATGATGCCTCCAACTTTGTTCATTTTGCTTAGGATTGTCTTGGCTATACAGGCTCTTTTCTGGTTCCATATGAAATTTAAAGTAGTTTTTTTCTAATTCTGTGAAGAAAGTCAATGGTAGCTTGATGAGGATAGCATTGAATCTATAAATTACCTTGGGCACTATGGGCATTTTCACAATATTTATTCTCCCTATCCATGAGCATGGAATGTTTTTCCATTTGTTTGTGTCCTCTCTCATTTCATTGAGCAGTGGTTTTTAGTTCTCCTTCAAGAGGTCCTTCACATCCCTTGTAAGTTGTATTCCTAGGTATTTTATTCTCTTTGTAGCAATTGTGAGTGGAAGTTCATTCACGATTTGGCTCTCTGTCTATGATTGGTGTATAGGAATGTTTGTGATTTTTGCACATTGATTTTGTATCCTGAGACTTTGCTGAAGTTGCTTATCAGCTTAAGGAGAATTTGGGCTGAGACAATGGGGTTTTCTAAATACACAATCATGTCATCTGCAAACAGAGACAATTTGACTTCCTCTCTTCCCATGTGAATACCCTTTATTTCTTTCTCTTGCCTGATTGCTCTGGCCAGAACTTCCAATACTCTGTTGAATAGGAGTGGTGAGAGAGGGCATCCTTGTCTTGTGCCAGTTTTCAAAGGGAATGCTTTTAGCTTTTGCCCATTCAGTATGATATTGGCTTTGGTTTCGTCATAAATAGCTCTTATTATTTTGAGATACGTTCCATCAATACCTAGTTTATTGAGAGTTTTTAGCATGAATGAGTGTTGAATTTTATCAAAGGCCTTTTCTGCATCTATTGAGATAATCGTGTGGTTTTTGTCATTGCTTCTGTTTATGTGATGGATTATGTTTGTTGATTGGCATATGTTGAAACAGCCTTGCATCCCAGGGATGAAGCCAACTTGGTTGTGGTGGATAAGCTTTTTGATGTGCTGCTGGATTCAGTTTGCTAGTATTTTATTGAGGATTTTCACATGGATATTCATTAGGGATATTGGCCTGAAATTTTTGTGTGTGTGTCTCTGCCAGGTTTTGGTATCAGGATGATGCTGGCCTCATAAAATGAGTTAGGGAGGATTCCCTCTTTTTCTATTGTTTTGAATAGTTTCAGAAGCAATGGTGCCAGCTCCCTTTTGTAGCTTTGGTAGAATTCGGCTGTGAATCCATCCAGTCCTGGGCTTTTCTTGGCTGGTAGGCTATTAATTACTACCTCATTTTCAGAACTTGTTATTGGTCTATTGAGGGATTCAACTTCTTCCTGGCTTAGTCTTGGGAGGGTGTGTGTGTCCAGGAATTTATCCATTTCTTTGAGATTTTCTAATTTATTTGCAAGGAGGTTTTTATAGTATTCTCTGATGGTAGTTTGTATTCATGTGGGATCAGTGGTGATATCCCCTTTATCATATTTCAATTATCATTTTTGTCTATTTGATTCTTCTCTCTTTTCTTATTAGTCTGGTTAGCAGTCTGTCTATTTTGTTAATCTTTTCAAAAAACCAGCTCCTGGATTCATTGATTTTTTCGAAGGGTTTTTCATACCTCTATCTCCTTCAGCATACCCCAGTGGCACCTGGAATGCCAGCAATACAGAACCATTCACTACCCTGGAAAGGGGGCTGAAGCCAAGGACCCCAGTGGTCTAGCTCAGCGGATCCCACTCCCATGGAGCCCAGCAAGCTAAGATTCACTGGCTTGAAATTCTTGCTGCCAGCACAGCAGTCTGAAGTCGACCTGGGACACTTGAGCTTGGTGGGTGGAGGGGCATTCATCATTACTGAGGCTTGAGTAGTCAGTTTTCCCTTCACAGTGTAAACAAAGCTGCCAGGAAGTTTGAATTGGGCAGAGCCCACCACAGCTCGCAAAGCCTCTGTAGCCAGACTGCCTCTCTAGATTCCTCCTCTCCAGGCAGGGCATCTCTGAAAGAAAGGCAGGATCCCAGTCAGGGGCTTATAGATAAAACTTCCATCTCCATGGGAGAGAGCACCTGGGGGAGGCACGGCTGTGGGTGCAGCTTCAGCAGACTTAAATCTTCCTGCCTGCTGGCTCTTTAGAGAGCAGCAGGTCTCCCAGCACCGTGCTCGATCTCTGCTAAGGGATAGACTGCCTCCTCAAGTGGGTCCCTGACCCCCATGCCTCCTAACTGGGAGACACCTCCCAGCAGGGTTCTACGGACATCTCATACAGGAGAGTTCCAGCTAGCATCTGGTGGGTACCTCTCTGGGATGAAGCTTCCAGAGGAAGGAACAGGAAGCAATCTTTGCTGTTCTGCAGCCTCCCCTGGCGATACCCAGGCAAATAGCGTCTGGAGTGGACCTCCAAAAAACTCCAGCAGACCTGCAGCAGAGAGGCCTGACTGTTAGAAGGAAAACTAACAAACAGAAAGGAATAGCATCAACATCAACAAAACAGACGTCCACACAGAAACCCCATCCGAAGGTCACCAACATCAGAGACCAAAGTTAGATATATCCAGGAAGATGAGGAAAAACCAGTGCAAAGAGGCTGAAAATTCTCCAGACCAGAACACCTCTTCTCTTCCAAAGGATCACAGCTCCTTGTTAGCAAGGGAACAAAACTGGACGGAGAATGAGTTTGATGAATTGACAGAAGTAGGCTTCAGAAGGTGGGTAATAACAAACTCCTCTGAGCTAAAGAGCATGTTCTAACCCAATGCAAGGAAGCTAAGAACCTTGAAAAAAGGTTAGAGGAATTGCTAACTAGAATAACCAGTTTAGAGAAGAACATAAATGACCTGATGGAGCTGAAAAAAACAGCATGAGAACTTTGTGAAGCATACACAAATATCAATAGCTGAATCAATCAAGCAGAAGAAAGGATATCACAGATTGAAGATCAACTTAATGAAATAAAGCATGAAGACAAGATTAAAGAAAAAAAGAATGAAAGGGAACAAACAAAGCCTCCAAGAAATATGGGACTATGTAAAAAGACCAAACCTACATTTGATTGGTGTACCAGAAAGTGATGGGGAGAATGGAACCAAGTTGAAAACACTCTTCAGGATATTATCCAGGAGAACTTCCCCAACCTAGCAAGACAAGCCAACATTCAAATTCAGGAAATACAGAGAACACCACAAAGATACTCCTCGAGAAGAACAACCCCAAGACACATAAGAGTCAGATTCACCAAGGTTGAAATGAAGGAAAAAAATGTTAGGGGCAGCCAGAGGGAAAGGCCAGGTTACCCACAAAGGGAAGCCCATCAGATTAACAGTGGAGCTCTCTACAGAAACCCTACAAGCCAGAAGAGAGTGGGGGCCAATATTCAACATTCTTAAAGAAAAGAATTTTCAACCCAGAATTTCATGTCCAGCCAAAGTAAGTTTCATAAGCGATAGAGAAATAAAATCCTTTATAGACAAGCAAATGCTGAGAGATTTTTGTCACCACCAGGCCTACTTTACAGGAGCTCCTGAAGGAAGCACTAAATATGGAAAGGAAAAACCAATACCAGCCACTGCAAAAACATACCAAATTGTAAAGACCATTGACACTATGAAGAAACTGCATCAACTAACGGACAAAATAACCAGCTAGCATCATAATGACAGGATCAAATTCATACTTAACAATATTATCCTTAATTGTAAACAGGATAAATGCCCCAATTAAAAGACACAGACTGGCAAACTGGAGAAAGAGTCAAGACCCATCAGTGTGCTGTGTTCAGGAGACCCATCTCACGTGCAAAGACACACATAGGCTCAAAATAAAGGGATGGAGGAATATTTACCAAGCAAATGGAAAGAAAAAAAAATACAGGGTTTGCAATCCTAGTCTCTGATAAAACACACTTTAAAACAACAAAGATCAAAAAAAGACAAAGAAAGCCCTTACATAATGGTAAAGGGATCAATGCAACAAAAAGGGCTAACTATCCTAAATATATATGATATGTATGCACCCAGTGCAGGAACACCCAGATTCATAAAGCAAGCTCTTAGAGACCTACAAAGAGACTTAGACTCCCACACAATAATAGTGGGAGACTTTAACACCCCACTGTCAATATTAGACAGATCAACAAGACAGAAAATTAACAAGGATATTCAGGACTTGAACTCAGCTCTGGACCAAGTGGACCTAATAGTCATCTACATACCACTCCACCCCAAATAAACAGAATATACATTCTTCTCAGCACCACATTGCACTTATTCTAAAATTGACCACATAATTGGAAGTAAAACACTCCTCAGCAAATGCAAAATAATGGAAATCATAACAAACAGTCTCTCAGACCATAGTGTAGTCAAATTAGAACTCAGGATTAAGAAACTCACTCAAGGCCAAGTGTGGTGGCTCATGCCTCTAACCCCAGCACTTTGGGAGGCCGAGGTGGTCAGATCACAAGGTCAGGAGATCGAAACAATCCTGGCTAACACAGTGAAACCCCATCTCTACTAAAAATACAAAAAATTAGCTGGGCATGGTGGCAGGCGCCTGTAGTCCCAGCTACTCGGGAGGCTGAGGCAGGAAAATGGCGTGAACCCAGGAGGCGGAGCTTGCAGTGAGCCGAGATCATGCCACTGCACTCCAGCCTGGAAGACAGTGAGACTCCGTCTCAAAACTGCACAACTACATGGAAACTGAACAACCTATTCCTGAATGACTACTGGGTAAATAACGAAATAAAGGCAGAAATAAATAAGTTCTTTGAAACCAATGAGAACAAAGAGACAATGTACCAGAATCTCTGGGACACAGCTAAAGCAGTGTTTAGAGGGAAATTTATACACTAAATGCCCACCGGAGAAAGCAAGAAAGATCTAAAATTGCCACCCTAACATTACTATTATTAAGTTTTGAGAGTTCTCCATGTATTTTAGATACAAGTTCTTTGTCAGATATATGTTGTACAAATATTTTCTTCCAGTCTATCAGCTTTTTTAATTCTGTTGTTCAATTGTCAGGATCTTTTTCAGAAGTTCAATTTATTTCATTTTTCTTTGTGCTTTATTAATTTGTTTTAATAGAATTCAGAACACACTACCCCAAAATATGGCACCTTTGGCATTTGAGAAAACAGCAGAAGCAAGAAGACCACTCTTACCTTCTCTTAACCCTTTTCCTCTGAATTAGGTCATAAAACCTAGGAAAGTAACTCTGACCTTCTGCCACCCCTCTTCCCTGAAGCAGATCATAAGAACCTCATTAGAAAACTGTCCTCCCTATATGTGGAGGAAAGGAACATCTTTATCTCTAAAGATCCTGAAAAGAATAACAAAGAAGCCTTGTTAAATACCCCCACCCAAGTTTGTTACTAGTAGATCACATCCTTTTATACTCCAATCGTATTTTTCTAGAACTGTCCACTCTTCATGAAACCTAAGCAGAAAAATACAAAAATTTACCTGTTTCACTGAATCATCATTATGTTTTCTCTGATTAACCTGTCTTTTGCTATAGAGGCCTCAGCCATGAACCAATCAATAGGCAAAATAAAGATATCTTTCCTTCCCTATCAGTGTTATGGCTAAGAACTCTGAGTAACCATGAGTTTCAAAGCTTTCTACTTGTGATTTTTTGAAAAAAATTATAGCTTTACATTTAGGTTTATGATTCATTTTGAGATAATCTTTGTACAGTATGTGAGGCTCAAGTCAATGATCATTTATTTTCTTTGCATATGAATGTCTTTCAACATTATTGTTGAAAAGACCATCTTTGCTCCACTGAAAAACTTTTTGTGCCTTTCTCAGATATCAGTTGACACAGTTGGTGAGTCTGTTATTAGATTCACTATTTTATTGCCTTTATCTAAGTGTCTATGACTCCACTGATATCACATTGTCTGGATTATTGTCACTATGTATGTATCTTAACAATAGGTAGAGTGATTGCTTCCACTTTCCTCTACATTTAAAAATAATTATTCCATTTATTTTGTTGCTTGATTTTTTCACTTAAATTTTAAAATCAGCTTGTCTATAATTGTCTATTTATATACAAAACATCTTGCCTGACTTTTATTCACAATTTTGTTAAATCTATTGATTTATTTGTGGAGAATTAACACCTTTACTATGTTAAGTCATCCAATCTATGAACGTGGTATGTCTTTCCATTTGTTTAGCATTTCCTTTATTTATTGTATTAGCATTTTTCAATGTTCATTATGCAGATACTGTAGACATTTTATTAGATTTATACCTAAGGATTTAATTTCAGGGGAATAATTACAACTGTCACATTTTTCACTCCACTTTCCATGTTTTCAATTGATAGTATTTAAAAATATGACTGATTTTGTCTTGTGTCCTGCAATATTTTTGGACACACTTATTAATGTTAGTAGGGCACATGTTTAAAGAACTCTTTAGAATATTCTAAATAAATAGCCATATAATCTTTAAATAGGAATACTTTTATTTCTTCCTATATAATCTTCATGATTTTTCTTTTCTTTTCTTGCCTTATTGTGCAGGCTAAACCTTCAGTACTATGTTTCATATGAGTGGCAATAGCAGACATCCTTGCTTGTTTTTAGTGTAAGAAAAGATAATATTTCACCATTAAATATGCTGCTAACTGCAGGTTATTTTTAGCCTGTTGATATCATTAATTATACTGATTGATTACTGAATTTTAAACTGACCTTGCAATTCTCAATCTCCACTTTATTGTGATGTATATTTTCTTTTTCTATAACGCTGGATCCTACATGCTCATCTTATGTTGAAGATTTTTTTTGTCAAAGTTTATGAGAGATATAGGTATGTAGTTTGTCTCTTTAAAAATATGTCTGATTTTTCTGTCAGGGCATACTGGCCTCATAAAATGAGTTAGAAATGTTTCCTTATTTTTTAATGTCCTGGAACAGATCAGGCAGAATTCATGTTAGTTCTTATTTAAATTTTAGTAGAATTTTCCAGTAAATTCTTCTAGGATTCAGAATATATGCATGTTAGATCATTTGCTACTGTCATATAGATCCCCGAGGCTCTATTTTTCCCCCAGTCTAGTTCCTCTCTGTTGTTTAGATAAGGTAAATTATATTGATTGTGTCAATTATATTGTCTGAAAATTCACTGATTTTTTTTGGGACAGAATATTTTTTTTTCTCAGCCTGTTGAGTAAGACTCTGTCTTACTTTGTTGCCCAAGCTGGAGTGCAGTGGTACAATCACCACTTACAGTAGCCTCGACTTCCCAGGTTCAAGTAATTCTATCTCAGCCTTCTAGGTAGCTGGGACTATAGGTGCATGCCACAATGCCTGGCTAATTTTTTGCATTGTTTGTGGAGATAGGGTTTTGCCATCTTGCCCAGGCTGGTCTCAAACCCTGGGCTCAAATAATCCACCTGCCTTGGCCTCCCAAAGTATTGGGATTACAAGTGTGAGACAACATACCCCGTCCAAATTTACTGATTCTATCTTCTGTTATCTCCACTCTACTATTGAGCCAATCCAGTAAGTTGTTGCTTTTGATATTATTGCATTTTTTTCTTCTATATTTTCCACTTGATTGTTTTTATAATTATAACTTCATTTCTTTTTTGAATTGTTAAAATATTTTCATTTGCTTTAAGTGAATTTGATATTGCTTGTTGAAGCATGTTTTGATGGTTGCATTAAAATCCTTTTCAGATAATTTCACCATCTGAGTCATAACAAGCTTGATATGTGTTTTAGTCAGGGTTTTCCAGAGAGACACACCCCACTGAACATATATACAGTTGTCCATCACTATCTGCAGGGCATTGGTTCTAAAATCCAAAGATACCCACGTCCCTTATATTAAATAGCATAGAACAGTAAGCACTCTGTGTCTGTAGGTGTAGAACCTAAGGATATGTAGGTCCTATTGTAAAGAGATGTACATGAGAAGGAATTTATTAGAGGAATTGGCTCACTTGTTTATGAAGGCTGAGAATTCCCACAATAAGCCATCTGCAAGCTGGAGAACCAAAGAATCTTTAGTGTGGTTCAGTTCAAGTCCAAAGACCTTAGAACCAAGGAAGCTGATGTTGCAGCTCTCCGAGGCTGATAGTTTGGGAGGTGGCTGGTACAAATCCCAGAGTCCAAAAGCTGGAGAACCTGAAGTTCTGATGTCCAAGAGCATGAGAAGAAAAACACCCAAGCTCAGGAAGAAAGTTCCAATTTACCTCTTTGTTACTTCTGGGACTCAGCTGATTGGATGATGCCCACCCACATTGTGGGCAATTCTTCCCACTCAGTCCACCCAATCAATGTCCAATCTCCAGCAGAAATACTCTCATGAACCCAACTGGGACAGCACAACCACTCTAACTAAATGCCAAACCACCTGGATTCTCTTTCAACAGAAATGGGATGGGCTCAATGCCTACTGAAGCATTGAGAATAAGTGATGTTTTGTTAGCTAGTGAATATCCCTTAATCCAGCCAAGTTGACACCCAAAATAAATCATCACAAGTTCATCCCTTGTCAACTTGGCACCATATGCCTCTCCTTTAAACCATACTTAATCTTGAAATAAAGGCAATAGCAAGGTGGTAGTTTCACCTAGCATGATGAAACTATATTGAATACAACAAAAATGCATTAATATATTCCCCAGAAGAGGAGATAAAGTCCTTGAGTGATGATTATTCTTCTCCAGATATTCTGTAACTTAAATACTGTGACATAAAATTAGAAATATTTAAATATTGATAGAACTCAACATATATCTATCAAGGATATTTTCTTAATATATGTATATATACAAACATACGTATTCCTAACAAAATAGGAAGAAAATACTCACAGCCCTTGTTTCTATAAGTGGTTATATGGTCATTGCTGATATTTATAACTACCTTCTAATATCCATTATGTATTCTGTTTGTTTTCAGCAAACACCTTAGCTAATCATGATTCTTTACCTTCTGGTGAACTGATCCAAACCTTTACTTATTTTCTTCCTTTTTTCCTCTCTCCTTCCCTCCCTCCCTCTTTCTTCCTTTCTTTCTTTCTTTCTTTCTTTCTTTCTTTCTTTCTTTCTTTCTTTCTTTCCTTCTTCCTTCCTTTCTTTCTTCCTTTCCTTCCTTCCTTCCTTCCTTCCTTCCTTCCTTCCTTCCTTCCTTCTTTCCTTCTTTCCTTCATTTCTTCTTTCTTTCTCTTTACCTTCTGGGAAACTGACCCAAACCTTTACTTACTTTCTATTTTTCTCTATTTTTTTCTCTTCTTCCTTCCTTCCTTCCTTCCTTCCTTCCTTCCTTCCTTCCTTCCTTCCCTCCTTCTTTCTCTTTACCTTCTGGTGAACTGACTCGAAACTTTACTTACTTTCTTTCTATTTTTCTCTATTTTTTCTCTTTCTTCCTTTCCTTTCCTTTCTTTTCCTTTCCTTTCCTTTCCTTTCCTCTCTTTCTCTTTCTCTCTTTCTCTTCCTTCCCTTCCCTTCCCTTTCCTTTCCTCACTCTCTTTCTCTCTTTCTCTCTTTCTTTCTTTCTTTCTTTCTTTCTTTCTTTCTTTCTTTCTTTCTTTCTTTCTTTTTCTTTCTTTCTACAGGGTCTCACTCTGTCACCCAAGCTAGAGTGCAGTGGTGAGATCATAGCTCACTGCAGCATTAAACTCTGGGCTCAAGCAGTCCTACTGCCTCAGTCTCTTGAGTAGCTGGGACTACAGACACGCAGAACCATGCCTGGTTAATTTTTTTTTTTCATTTTTATTTTTGTAGAAACGGGGTATTGCTAGGTTACCCAGGCTAGTCTGAAATTCCTGACCTCAAACGATCTTTGTGCCTTGGCTTTCCAATGTGCTGGGATTACAGACATGAGCCACCAAGCTCAGCTCAAACCTTTATTTCTGAAGGGTCTGAGCCATTCATAGTCCTGCTTGAATTGGGTTGTTGTAATTTCCCATTGACCTTAATCACAGGACATACTAAGAGTTGCCCTAAGGGATCTACTGTTTTCCAAACATACTCTCCCTTACTTCTCTTCTGGAGTAGTAGTCCAATCTTATTCTTGGTAGTTTGAATTAATCACTACAGCCAACACCATTACTCCCCTGTAAGCCTGTTGATTTAGATTCATGAGGAGCCCAAAGTGGCCAGGTGGCAGTTTTAACTTCCAGTTTGGTAGAATTACTGTTGTCTCCCATGGTGGAGGCATTCCTTCCTCTGAAACAAAGACCTCTGTGCTAGCAGAGCATAAAGTCACAGAAATAATACACAATTTTTTTTTCTAGTGGGTTACTAGGATGAATGATGGTGGTGCCATTCTATTTCCACTCCTTGATTCCTGGACCTGTGAATTCTGGCAATTGGGGGAAATAGTACCATATAGTGAACTTTTATTCAGAACATGTAAAGCCTTCTAGAAGACCTTGCCCAGTCCTGCAAAATATTGCCACCTATCTGGTGCTGTAACTGTGCCTTCAAAAGGCCATTTTATAGTCTTATCAAGACAACTGCTTCAGGATGATGGGGAGCATGGTAAATCCAGTGCATTTTATGAATATAAGTCAATTACCACACTTCTTTGTGAAGTGAATTACTTTTAAGAAGCAATGCTGTGTGGAATACTATAATGATGGATAAGGCATTCTGTAAGTCCACAAGTGGTAGTTTTGTCAAAGCATTGAATGAGGGAAGGTAAATTTATATCCAAATTAAGTGTCTATTCCAGTAAGGACAAAACATTGTCTCTTCCATGATGAAAGTTGTCCAATGTAATCAACCTGCCACCAGGTAGCTGGCTTAATACTCTGGGCAATGGTGCTACACTGGGGGCTCAGTGTTGGTCTCTGCTGCAGATAGATTGGACACTAGGTGATGACCATAGCCAGGTCAGCCCTGATGATTTTAACTCTATATTGTTGGGCCCAGGCATAACCTCCATCTCAGCTAACATGCTGACTTTGTTCATAAGCCCATTGGACAATGGCAGTTGGTTAAAGAAAAAGGCTGATTGGATTTCACAGAATAGGTCATTCTATCAATTTGATTATTCAGTTCTTCCTCTGCTGAGGTCACCTTTTGGTGAGCATTTACATGGGACACAATTACCTTTAAGTTCTTTGCCCACTCGGAAAGGTCTACCTTTTCCCAAAATTTCTTTGTCACCAATTTTCCATTCGTATTTCTTCCAAGTCCCTGATCATTCAACCAGACTATCTGAGTTCCCCTTTCAGCAGAAGATGGATGTGCTCACTGCCTCCTGAAGCATTTAGAATAACTAATGCTTTGCCAGATATTTGGGGAATCTTTAATTCAGTCAATTTAACACCGAAAATCAACTACTATTGTATTTGTTGATTCGTTTCTCATTCAAGTTATGAATGCTCTGGTTCTAAGTAAAATAAATGTTTTTTAATTGTAGTATGGACATTTGAGATCTTATATTAGGGGATTCTGGATCTTATTTAAATGTCCTATTTTGGCAGGCAATTATCCTGTTCAAGTTTAGACCAAAGGTCTTCGTTCACTTTTGTAAGCTGTTATTCCAAAGGCACTTTCTTTTTCAGAGCCCTTGAGGTAATATTTAAATCTGCTTCATAAACGTGCTACTCAAAGTCCATGGAAATTATGGATGGAATCTTACATTGTAGTTTGGTTTTCAACCTTTTGGCGTGTTAAATCTAGTCAGTTTCACTTTTTTTTTTTTTTTTAATGTTTGTCCAGAACTTCCGATGCTGGTTATTTGATAATAATGTCTGGTATTTGCTTCAAAATAAAAGGGTGGCCATTATATGAGAAATAAAATTGACCAGGAACTGATAATTGTTGAGGATGAAGAATAAATATGTTGATGTCTATAAGAGTATCCCAATTTTGTATATGTTTGACATTTCCATATGAAAATGTTAAAAAGGTAATTATATTGAAATTGTCTTAATAGTTAAATAGTCTATTTGTTTAAATTACAGAATAATACAGGGTTACATATTAAGAATGTTTAATTATTGATTCTCCTAAAATTAGTTTTCTAGAATTAAAATTTCCTTTGGATAACAAAAATAACAATTAACTTCTATCATCTTACAAAATACAATTGTTTAACATCTTCATAGATATTTCTTAACATTTACGTAGAAACTTGAACTAGAAAATATATGAATTTGAATAAACAACTTATAATAAAGAATTTGAGCATATAATACTATCTTATATACAGTAGATTATCATTTATTTCAAATATTTGCTAGGATTACTGTTCCAAATATCATCCACATATAGATAAAATGTACTTTTCACCAGTAATAAATAAGGCACATCTATTTGTTCTGTCACATTAAGGAATTAATATGTTCTCATTAATAATGTAATAACAAAATTCGTGATATTTGCATATGGTAGACTGATAGCAAAAATTTCCCATACATTCCTCTATCCATGTCTTTTGAAATTTGACTTTGCAGTTTTCCCTGTCAAGGGATGTAGTCTATCTCCCCGAGCCTTGCATATCAACTGGCCTTGTGACTTATTTGCAGAACAGAATGCAATAGAAGGAACTTGGGTAAATTCTAAACCTAGGACTCAACAGTCGTTCCCTGTTCCCTCTATCTTGAAACTCTGCCACCCTGAGGACAAGCCCAGGCTAGCCTGCTGGAGGGTGATTGATTATATAAAGGAAACTCAGTATAGCAGAGCCGACATCCTGAAGACTTCTGTGGGAGCAGATGCCTAGCTGAAGCACAGCTGACAAGAGAGTCATGAAAAAGCCAAAAGGATCACCTGCTAAGTCCATTTTAAAATCATGATCTACAGAAAGGTGAGTTAAATAAATTGTTAATTTTGGCTATTGAGTGTAGAAGTAGTTGTTGTGCAATGATGTTTAACTGATGAAATATCCAAAAATTATAAAGGCTTAAGAATTTCTCTAAAATTTACTTCTTATATTTGATTACTCAAAGCCATGAATGTTAATAAAACCTTTAATACTAATACAAGTAATTGTTTATATTTTTCAAACTTAACCATATTTTGGTGAGCGTCTACAAAATAAAATATATATAAAATTACTACCAAAATGAAAGAAAAAGAAAGAGGTACGAAAAGAGAAAAAAATTATTAATTTCTTTTGACTACTCAAGTAAATTACCATACACTTAGCAGCTTAAAACCACACAGTCTCACCAGCCTAACATCAAGATACTAGCAAGGCTGTGTACCTTGCCAGCTGCCAGCCAGGGGTTGTTCTCAACTTATACAGGCCACCCACATTCCTTGAATAATGGACCCCTTCATCTTCAAAGTCTGCAGTGGTGTATAGAATTCTTCTTATGCTTCATCTCTCCTGACTTCCTGTATTAACTCTCATTCCTCAACCAGAAGGGTTTTCCATTTTTAAGGACCCTTGTGATTACATTAGCCCACTGAAATATTCTAATACCCCATCTCAAACTTCTTAACCTAATCACTTTGTGAGATCATGTTTTGCTATGTAAGGTAACATATTCACACATTTCAGGACTACAAGAATGTGTAGTACACATTCAAGAACATCTTGAGGGCAGGCATTATTTTGCTTACCACAGAACCTAAATTAATATTTATTAAGCATCAACTTTGTACAGGGCATTGTGCCACATGTGTTCATCCATTATCTCTTATACATTTTACAACAAACTTGCGAAGTAGATACTATTATCTGTACTTTTAAAGAGGATGAAAATTAGATCTATTAAAGTAAGCAACTTGTCTAAGTTCACAAAGTTACTATCAAGTCATGGTTTGGATTAGTTAAGTTTCTGTGAATTTGAAGCTATACAGCACTCTTTCAAAAAAGCAAAAGGAACAAATATTGATTATTAGATAAAATAACAAAAGGTAGAGAAAACGAGAGTCAAAAATAAAAGAGAGAGTAAATAGAGAAGAAAGCAAAGTGGGTAAATCTGTTTGGGTATTTATATAGTCTGAAAGCAGGATAGTTCTGATAGGTGAGAGGTGGAAAAGCCTGATTAGTGTAGATGAATCCCCTTGAGAGCAATATTCATGCACAATAATTTCTTCACTGCAGTGATTTTTGTTTATTTTATTGCAAATATATTTTTTCTTACTATTTTTATTCTTCAATGCAAGCCTCTAATTTTGAAAGAAGTGCTTTTCTTCAGCAACAAAGGTAGTAGAGGAGTGATTTCCTTACTTTTTCAACAAATTTTATAAGGTTACACTGTCGTGAAGCACAAGTTAATAAAGCCTAAGGACACACTGTTGCATTTCTTTTAAAATAATGGAAAATTATTAAATTTTTTAAGGCACATTTTGTTTGAATGTCTTGTGTTAGTTAGATAACTGTACATCACTAAAGTAGAACAGTACTTTTAAGAAGCAATTTCTGTTTAGGAGTAGAAGTTGAAAGTGGTATATTAATCTGATGAGCTTAAGCAGCAAAATAGACCTCATACATAAGAATATGAGCTGATTTACTGTAAGGGACATGACTAATCCAGGGTCCATCTGTAGGGCTTCCACTGGTGCTGAATACACTAGTCAGGCCTTCATTGCTGCTTTCCCCAGTGCTTGGACCCTTGAGGGCTTGCCAGGCATCTGACATTGTGATTGGACAATAATCTTCATTTGATTCAATTTTCCTTCCCTTTTGGTCAACTGTGCTAACACCACAGCAGCCTCCATGAGAGAGACAAATTAGCCAGTCACATTGACATATGCCAGCATAATTGGGATGCCAAAAGCAATACTAACTGCAGTAATAACTGAGGATGCAATCACTGACAAAGTCATTCCTCCTGTGATAGCCAAATTTCTCTTGTGTTGGAGGTTTGCTTTCCTTTATCCGTGCAGTGAATCTTCCTGTCAACATAAACAGGAATGCTGATGACCATTTCAGGAATAGCAATGGTAGCAATGAAAGATATCCCCACTGGAGCTCCAATTAATGCGCACAGCTGCCAAGTAATTTTCTTACAGCTTCTTGCCCCAGAATCTGAAGCCAGAGGGTTTTTGAAAATATGGCAGAAATCTTTATTAAAATGTTTCCTTCAGTAATATGTTACCACATACATAATATACACACATACCTATGTACATTCTTAGACATACCTCAAAGATTGCTACCATTAGTTTAACCAATAAATTAAAACTAAAAAAAAAATAGGAAGGGGAGAAAGGAGAGGGAATCAGGGCAAAATTTTGATGTTTTATCTAGTAAGAAATTGCAAATATCTCAGAATTTCTCTGAAGGAAACCTATAACCAGAGAATCTTTAAGATAAAATACATAAATTTTCACTCATCTCACCGAAAAAAAAAAAAAAAAAGATTTGAAAGTTGCAGTCACAACAATTGTGCTTCTCAGAACATTTATTCAATTTCAAATTCTGGCTTCGGCACCTTTTGTCTTTAAGACAGACTGCCCCTCGGCTGGGGCAGAGAAGTTCATATGGACACCTGGGCCCAGTGCACCCTTGGGCTCTAGAGGTCAAGGGGGAAATCTGCAATATGATAGTAAGGGAGGTCATAGTCATCTGAAGTGATGTCTAGCACATCATCTCACTGCATATCATCACTCTCCAGACCACTGTGGATCATCTTGGGTTAGGCCAAGCTGATGTATGAAAGTTTGATGACCAGATAGTCTTTCTGCTCACAGCTTTGGTGTTTGTAGAAAAGTCCTCTTCACTGCCTCCATCTCCACCACTACTGCTATATTCTTCATTCTCTGTCATCTGAGCATGAATGTGGAATGAATCCTTTACGCTTCTTTCACTCACCAGCTGACAGTAGCTTGGTTTGGCATCACTCAGATTTCCATATTGTTGCATTCCATGTCCTGATTATGAAAATAGTCATAGCAAGAGTGCTTGGGCTCTCACTGATTCCATCAAGGTTGATTGTGTCTTTGAAAACAATTTCATTTTGGATATTGACTTGGACTTCTATCCTGCTGCATTTTCCCTAGATACTGTAAAGAATCTCACCATTTAGTATGCTCCATGGGAGAGCTGTGAAGCTGGTTGTATAATAAAAAATAATGATATTATGTAATGATAAAGGAATCAACTCATCAAAAGAATATAACAATTGTAAATATATGTGCACTCCAACTTTGGAACACCTAAATATATAAAGTAAATATTAATAAACATGAAGAGAGAGATAGACTATAATACAGTAATAACAGGGAATATCAATACCCCATTTTCAACAAGGGACAGATCACAGACAGAAATCAATAAGGAAACAACGGACTTGAACTATACTTTAGGTCAAATGGACCTAAAAGACATATACAAAACCTTCCATCCGATAGCAGCAGAATACATATTTTTCTAAAGCACACATGGAACATTCTTCAGGATAGGTCATATGTGAGGGCTCAAAACAAGTCTTCATAGGTTTAAGAAGATTGAAATTGTATCAAGTATATTTTCCCATGACAATGGTATAAAACTAGAAATCAATAATAGGAGAAATATCAGAAATTCCCAAATAAGTGGAAATTAAACTACATTCTTCTAAGTAACCAATGAATCTAAAAACAAATTAAAAGGGAAACTAAATAATATATTCAGACAAGTGGAAATGGAAACACAACGTACCAAAATATGCAGGACTCAGCCAAAGCAGTTCTAAGAAGGAAGTTTATAACAATAAATGCCTACTTCAAAGAAAAAAAAAAGATCCCAAATAAACCACCTTATGTTAGACATCAAGAAACTAGAAAAAGAAGACCCAACCAAGTGCAAATTTAGTTAAAGGAAGAAAATAATATAGCTCAGAACAGAAATGAATGACATAGAGACTAGAGCCTTAATAGGAAAAATCAATAAAACTGAGTTGGGTTATGAAAAGATAAACAAAATTGACAAACATTTAAATGGATTAACTAGGAAAAAAGGAAAAAGAATATAAATAAAATTAGAAATGAAATAGATGACATTACAACGGATATGCCACAGAAATACAAAGGAGCATAAGATACTATGAATAATTATACACCAACAAATATGATAATCTAGAAGAAATAGATAAGTAACTATAAACATAAAACTTACCAAGGGTAAATCACGAAGAAATAGAAAATCTGAACAGATCAGGAATGAGTAAGGAGATGAATTAGTAATAAAAATTTTCCTGTCAAACAAAAGTACAGGATTAGATGTATTTACTGGTAAATACTACCAAACATTTAAATAAGACTTATTGCCAATCATTCTCAAACTTTTCCAAAAAAAATGAAAAGTAGGACACACTTCCAAACTTATTTTATGAGGCCAGAATTACTCTATAACAAAAGTCAGACAAGAAGAGAACAATAAGGAATTAAGAAGAGAAACTAAAAGAAAAGAAAATTACAAGCCAGTAATTCAGATGCAATAATTCTCAACTAAACACTGAAGAACTAAATTCAACAGCACATTAAAAGGATAATACATCACACTGAAGTGGGATTTATTCCTGAAATACAAGGATGGTTCAACAAAAACAAATCCATAAATGTGATGTACCACATTAACAGAATGAGGGACAAAAAACATAATCATTTCAATAGATGCAGAAAAAAAAATCAGAGAAAATTCAACATCCCTTCATGATAAAAACCCTTAATGATTTAGGTGCAGAAGGAATATACATCAATAAGGGACATATATGAAAAGCACACAAGCTCACATCAGACTCAATGGTGAAAAATTGCAAGTTTTCTAAGATCAGGAAAAAGACAAGGATTCCCCCTCTTGTGATAAGTATTCAACATTGTGCTGGTAGTCTTAGAATAATCCAGAGAGAAATAAATGAAATTCAAATTGGAAAAGAAGATGTTATGATCTTATATCTAGAAAACCCTAGCCACTCACCAAAAAGCTGTTAGACGTAATAAACAAATTCAGCAAAGTTGCAGGAAACAAAATCACCATACAGAAATCAGTAACATTTATTCCCTCAAAACAAACTATATGAAAAAAAGTCAAGAAAGCAATTCCATTTACACTAGCAAAAAGTAATAAAATAAAATATGTAAAAATAAATTTAACAAATAAAGTGAAAGTGCCATACACTGAAAACTATAAAACATTGATGAAAGAAATTAAAGAAGACACAAATGAATGGAAATATATAGGATGTTCACAGATTAGAAGAACTGATATTTGGGGCTTTGCTCCAGATTAGGCTTTGGCTTAAGTGAATGTTATGCCTAGTTTGATCTTCTGTCAGACCAATCAAACTTTCTCCATATAAGCAATAAGGCTGTTTTGCTTCCTTATCATTTGTATGTTCACTGGAGTAGCACTTTTAATTTCCCTCAATAACTTTTCCTTTGCATTCTCAACTTGGCTGACTGTTTGGCTTAAGAGACCCAGCTTTTGACATCCCTTCCTCACGAACTTAGCTTTTGATTTAAAGTGAGATATGTGCAAATCTTCCTTTAACTTGAACACTGAGTCATCATTGTAGGGTTATTAATTGGACTAATTTCAATATTGTGGTGTCTCAGGGATTGGGGAGGCCTTAGGAGAAGAAGAAACACAGGGTAACAGCCAGTAAGTGGAGCAGTCAAAACACACATTTATAGATTAAGTTTGCCATCCTATATGAGTGTGGTTTGTGGTGCCCCAAAACAGTTACAATAGTAACACCAAAGATCACTGATCACAGATCACCATAACAGATAGAGTAATAATTTAGAAGTTTGAAATACTGTGATAATGTACAGAATGTGATAGATAAAAAGTGAGATCATACTGTTGGAAAAATGGTGCCAACAGACTTACTCAACACAGGGTTGCAACAAACCTTTATTTTCTAAAAAGCACAGTATCTGAAAAGTTCAATAAAGTAAAGCACAATAAAATGAGATATGTTTGTATTCAAAGAAATAATGCCTAAAAATTCCCAAATTTGGTGAAAGAGATAAACCTACTGTGGGGAAAAGAAAGAGAGATCAGGCTGCTTCTGTGTCTATGTAGAAAGAAGTAGACATAAGAGACTCCATTTCGTTCTGTACTAAGAAAAATTCTTCTGCCTTGAGATGCTGTTAATCTGTAACCCTACCCCCAACCCTGTGCTCGCAGAGACATGTGCTGTATTGACTCAAGGTTTGATGGATTTAGGGCTATGCAGGATGTGCTTTGTTAAACAAGTGCTTGAAGTCAGCATGCTTGTTAAAAGTCATCATCACTCTCTAATCTCAAGTACCCAGGGACACAATACCCTGCAGAAGGCTGCAGGGACCTCTGCCTAGGAAAGCCAGGTATTGTCCAAGGTTTCTCCCCATGTGATAGTCTGAGATATGGCCTCCTGGGAAGGGAAAGGCCTGACCATCCCCCAGCCTGACACCTGTAAAGGGTCTGTGCTGAGGAGGATTAGTAAAAGAGGAAGGGCTCTTTGCAGTTGAGATAAGAGGAAGGCATCTGTCTCCTGCTCATCCCTGGGCAATGGAATGTCTCAGTGTAAAACCCGATTGTATGTTCCATCTACTGAGATAGGAGAAAACCGCCTTAAGGCTGGAGGTGAGACATGCTGGCGGTAATACTGCTCTTTAATGCATCAAGATGTTTATGTATGTGCACATCAAAGCACAGCACCTTTTTCTTAAGACATTTGTTCACATGTTTTCCTGCTGACCCTCTCCCCATTATTACCCTATTGTCCTGCCACATCCCCCTCTCCGAGATGGTAGAGATAATGATCAATAAATACTGAGGGAACTCAGAGATCCGGTGTAAGCGTGGGTCCTCCGTATGCTGAGCGCGGGTCCCCTGGGCCCACATTTCTTTCTCTATACTTTGTCTCTGTGTCTCTTTCTTTTCTCAGTCTCTGGTCCCACCAGATGAGAAACACCCACAGGTATGGAGGGGCAGGCCACCCCTTCACCTACATATTCAGTAATCTGAGCAAACCCCAAACAAAAATTCCAGCCAAGACTCATCCTACTTAAACACCTGAAAGCTAAAGGCAAAAAAAAAGTATTGAAAGCATCCAAAGAGAAATATTTTCTTTTCAGGATTTGTGTTAGGTAAAATATTAAGGACAGATTAGGACAGAAATAGGTAAGAGAAAAATGAGAAATAAGTGAACATAGAAAGAGAAGAGAACAGCATTACTAAGATTTCAAAGTTCAAACAGTACTTCAGATACTAGAAATTTACAATAGTTCAGGAAAAAAAAAGGATCAAATACTTAGGGAAACCATTAACACATGGTCAAACCAAACCATAAAGACTAATATATTTGAATAAATAAGATTAAGTACTTTGACCCTAATAGCTCCAGCAATCTTGGGCAAGAAGAATAAAGCTAGCGGCATTATACTTCTTAATTTTAAATTATATTACAAAGCTATAGTGAGCCTAACAGCATAATTTTGACATAAAAAAACAGATACATAGACCAACAGAACATAATAGAAGGACCAGAAATAAACCCACACATATACAGTCAACTAATCCTCAATGAAGGTGCCAAAAATACACAATGGAAAAAGGATAGAAGTTTCAGTAAGTGGTGTTAAGAAAATGACATCCACATGCAGAACAATGAAATTGAATTATTATCTCACACCATACACAAAAATCAACTCAAAATAGATTATAGACTAAACTTTAAGACCTGAAACTAAATCTCCTAAAAGAAAACACAAGGGAAAAGTTTCATGACATTAATCCTGGCAATGATCTTTTGGATATCACACCAAAAGCAAAGGCAACAAAAGCAAAAATAATCGAATGTGACTATATATGCACAGGAAAGGAAACTGTTAACAAAATGAAAAGGCAACCTACAGAATAGAAGAAATATTTACAAATTATGTATCTGATAAGAGGTTAAAATTCAAAACATGTAAGAAGCTGTTACGACTGAATAGCAAACAAGAAATAACCTGATTTTGAAAAATAACCATAGAATCTAAATAGATATTTCTCCAAGAAAGACATACAAATTGTCAACAGTATCTGAAAAATTGATCAAACACCATTAATCATTAGAAAATGTAAATGAAAAATATAATGAGATATCACCACATACCTATTAGGAAGACTATTATCAAAAAGTCAAAAGATAGCAAGTGTTGAAGAGGATGTGAAGGAAAGGGAAACTTTATGTATTGTTGGTGAGATTGTACATTAGTATAGCCATTATGGAAAATGGCATAGAAGTTTCTCCAAAAATTAAAAATAGAACTCTCATATGATCCAGCAATCACGCTTCTGGGTGTTAGGTTTTGAAGGGAAGGTGAGGGTTAAAGAAAGACACACACACAGAAAGAGGGTGGCTCGGCAGCAAATGCAGTCTTTAAGTTCAGCATAAAACCTACAGAAGTGGGGGACCAGCCTAATGACAGTGCCCACCGCTGGGGTAATTTCTAGGTATGGGCAGGAGGGGTCTGGGCAGTATGGCTTGCTGCCCGGCAGGATACTGATAAGATGTTCCCATGATGAGGTGGTTCTGGCCCTTGTACCGGCAGAATGTGGTGCTCCTCCTTGTACTTTCTCCCAGCAGAATATGATAAGAGGCAGGCTGTTTCTTCATTTGGGCCTTTGTCCACCTTGTGGTCAGGTGGTTAGGCAGGTTGTTTCTCACGGCCCGAACCCCAGTGAGATGTTTCACTTTGACTGAGGCCTGCTAAATAATGGGGAGCTTATAAAATGGTGCAGTTTGGACTAACATTCTTGCCTTTTACTTTAATATAAAAGAAAGTGGGGCATTTTTTGGTTATCTGGCTGTTTCCTGCTGAATAACGGCACTGTAATCAGGGTTTGGGTTTTGAAGTAGTGGATGTCTGACTTCAGAGTTGTTTTCCTGGAGGTGCTGACACCAGACTTGGTGGAGGAGAAAGATGGTATCAATTATTTTTGGGTGGCTGCCTAGACAAGGGAGTTCAGCCTTTGGGAGATAAAGTAGAATATGAAGGCGATTATACATGGACCGATTGTTATTATTATGAGGAAGAAAATCAGGGGCCCTAAGAAAGGGGGATTCACTTTAGGAGGAATGACTCCTGCCACTAAGAGTCAGTGTCATGATGTTGGATTTCTGCAGCCGTCATGGAGTCTGTGGGCTGTGCAGTTAACAATGCCAGATTCATTAACCTAAAAACAGATTCTTCTTGGAGATATACTTATGTACCCCCCCCTTCTCAGCAGATAGCAGGTTTAAGGCCCTTTGGTTTTGGAAGATGACTCCCACAAGGAAATTTATCTGCCTTTGGAGTCTCGTAATGGAATTATACATGTCCTTTAGGGTATTATAGAGGACTGTAGATATTTTTTATATAGGGCAGTTGAGGTTGATATATTTGCTATTCTGGTAGCAAGTGCAGAGGAGATGTGTATTCCTGTTTCCAGAGGAATGAGATGTAGAACCCACATAGTGCATGTGGAGGAAGATGAGACAGAAGTTACTAAAGGAACCTGGATGGGCTGGTTGTTTGGCAAAATGTTAATGTTTGGAGATTGACAAACCAGGGTGCACGTTCCTGACCCACCTGCCAGTAAGCAAGATAAGAGTTTGTGTCACCCAGAAAAGACTGGAGGTTGACAGGCAAAAGTTGTAAGTGAAGGTAGCAAGCCATGAGAAGGTGGCGGTTGAATCCTGGAAAAAATTTTTGTCTCAACCTTTTTGTTTTTTCTAGGTTGAATAGCTGTTAACAACGGTAGCCACTATGAGAGCCTGATAGGGAATGTTGGTGGAGAAGGAGGTGAAGGCTGTTTGGCTTTGTAGAGAGAGAGATAAAAGAGCTTTTTTAACTAATAGCCATTGCAGTCCTGTTAGGGCAGAATGATGTAGGCTGCAGTTGAGGGAATTGTTTGTGCATTTCTTTCAGAGTGTCTGTGAGTTGGATACATGGAGAGCAGCTGCAGCAGAGAGGGGAGAGATTGGTAAGGGGCGTTTTATGGAATCCGGCTTGTAACATGTTTAATTTAGAGGCCATGAGGCAAAGGAGGGTGACAGCCCTGTGCGTGATGCTGTGGGTGGATTTGGGGGAATCGTGTTTAGCCAAGCAAGATTACAAACAGGTTTTGGGAATGGATTGGCTGAGTAGGTGAGATTCAGATTTATTTTTGGATCAGATTTATGCAGTTAGGTTAACCGGAAGGGCTGTGAACTGCTGGATTTGTGTAGACAACAAATTTAACAGTTGGAAGAAAGAAGGGAGTGTGACTGATTTAAGAGGGGATGTGTGAGGCTGACAAAGGGGGCCCAACTGCCAGAGGTTGGGAGTGGGGACTTACAGTATCCCACAGACAAAGAGGACAAAAGGAGAAAAAGGAGATTTGAGTAGGAGTGAAATTTTGGAATGTGTCCTGCAGCCATAGCTCCCAGATTATTGTGAGAAATTGGACTGGACTCTCCAGAGACATGGGAAAGGGATACCAGGAAAGATCTGAAACAAGGTATGAGATAATAGATTTGAAATTAGAGGCAGAGAATGTTATGGATCAAGGCCTTCTGGATTGGCAACTTCTGGAATTTCTGTGAAGTGCAGAGAGGTTGGTCCTGTGAGAGAGGGAGAATAATTTGGTGGGGGCGGGGGAGGAAATTTCTGGATGTGGATCTGGTTCTCTTTTTAGTTTGGAATGATGTATCCAGTGTGGAAGGGATGTTAGCTTTGTTGTTGTGGGATTAGCTAGGATAACCTGGTGAGGACCCGTCCACTTAGGTTGGAGAGGGGAGGAGGAAGAGTCTGTGATCCAGACCCAGTCCCCTGGTTGTAGGGAGAGGGAGGGGTATTTCGAGGATGGACTTTCAGGCTAGGGCAAGTAAACATTTGCATACTGTCTTATTAGATGTTGAGTGAAGTGTAGTGCTGGCCAAGTATCTGGTACAGAAGGGGAAGAAGAGACAGGGAGATTCTGGAGGATAAAGGAGTGTTTGTACATGAGTTTAAATGGGCTTAGGATGAGGGGCTTTTGGGGAATGGCTTGCAAGGGCATGAGGGCCAATAGGAGAAGTGAAGTCCAGCCATTTTAACCTCTAGAGAATCTGGTTAGTTGTTGTTTCAAAAGGGCATTGGTCCATTTAACTTCTCCTGAAGATTGGGGGCAATAAGGAATATGGAACGCTATTTAATGTTTAGAGCCTTCGCCAGCTGTTGGTTAACCTGTGAAACAAATTTGGCCTAATGGAAGAGGGGAGTTTAAACTGGGAGATAATATGGGTGAGAAGAATGGAAGTGACAGTGTGTGCCTTTTTGGTGGTGGTAGGAAAAGTTTCTATCCATCCAGAGAATGTATCTATTATTGTCAGAAGGTATCAGACTCGTTTTATAGGAGGCATGTGTGTGAAGTTGATTTCCCAGTCCTGCCCTGGCAGGTGTCCTTGAGCTTGGTGTGTGGGGAAGGGAGGTGATTTGATACCTTCTTGAGGAGAAGTCTGAGTGCAAAGGGAACACGCGTTAGTAATATTTTTGTGATTGGCGGCCATGATGGGAGAATATATATAAGTTTTTAAAAGCTGGAGTAGGTGGCAGTAAACCACATGGAAATGGTTGTGCGTATATGAAAGTACAGAAGGTTTCTGGGAATTGGGCAAGACAATTTGTCATTGAGGTAGAACCATTTTTTCCTGAACAACACCAGCCTGGGCAAATGAGGTTTGTTTCTCCTGGGTATATATAGGGTGTATGCTGGGAAAAATGGGCAATAATAATGGGGTTTTAAAGGCTGCCTGCTGGGGTGCTGAATTTGTTAAAAAGTTTCCCTTGGTTATGGCATCTGTAGCCTTTTGGTGTTCCTTACAATAGAAAATGGCAGCCTGTGGTGGGAGTTTAGCCGCCTCCAGCAACTTGTAAATGAGTTTGTTATTTCCTGTGGGGGTACCTTTTGTGGTTAGAAAACCCCTTTCCTGCCAGATTAAGACATGAGAGTGTAGGATGTGATATGCATATTTGGAATTGGTGTAAATGTTAAGCCTTCTTCCCTTGCTAGGGTTAGGGCCTTGGTTAATGCAACTAGCTCCACCTGTGAGAGGTAGTATGGCGTGGGAGAGCATTGGATTTTATGAGTGAGAGAGCTCAGACTTGGAGATGTTTACAGGGAAGAGGGTGGCTGGGTTGAGAGCTTTACATCTCTGGAAGGTGATTAGAGGGTTTCCTATGAATAAGGCGTGTACCTGCAGTAAGCGGGATGGTGGGAGGCATAGAAGGCATTGATGGCTCATGAGTTCCTGTAGGTTATGGGAAGATGCAATAGTAATGCTGTTGGTAGAGAGTGAGTTTCTGTGCCTCTGAGGCAAACAATGTGGCCACACTCAAGATTTTTAAGCGGGGCGGCCAGCCTTGGATGACATAATTCAGTAGTTTTGAGAGGTATGCAGTGGCTTGTGGGACATTGCTGTATGTTTGGCAAAGTAGTCCAAGAGCAAGGTCTTAGTTAGAATATACATACAGAGTAAGGGCTTGGTGCGGTTGGGCAGTCCCAGTGCTGGGGCTACAAAAAGGGCATTTTTAATTTTTTTTACAGTTGTAGTTGATGGGGCAAGCTGAATCAAGGGGTTTTGTAATGGGTCTATGTGAGGCTGTGTAGAGCAGCTTGGCCAGTATGTCGAAATTGGGAATCCACAGCCAGAAGTATCCCATAAGGCCCAAGAAGGAGAGGAAGTGCTTCTTTGTGTGGGGAAGGGGTATGTCCCAAATTAGCTCCTTTTGTTGGGTTCGGATGGCCCGAGAATTAGGGGTTAGGGCAAGTCCAAGGTAAGTGACCTGGGTTTGGGCTACCTGAAATTTTGTGGGTGAGACCCGATATCCTCGACTATGGAGGAAGTTTAAAAGCTGAGTGGTGTATAAGATGGACAGGTGAAGGGAGGGGCTACAGAGAAGGAGGTTATTGATGTATTGGAGGAGGGTGCTAGAGGCAAGGGGAAATTTAGCTAGGCCCTTGGTGAGGGCCTGCCTGAACAGGTGGGGACTATCCTGAAACCCCTGTGGGGGTACAGTCCATGTTAGTTGGGTGGACATGTGAGTATAAGGATTTGACCAAGTGAAAGCAAAAAGGCTTTGGGGTGCCAGATTTAAGGGAATAATGAAAAAAGTGTTCTTTGGTTCTAATACAGAGAAGTGTGTGATAGATGGAGGAATAAGGGAGAGTAAATATATGGGTTGGGGACAACCAGATGAATTGGCACCACCGCCTGATTAACAACTCAGAGATCCTGGACCAAGCAGTAGGACTCATCTGTCTTTTTGACAGCCAAGATAGGGGTGTTGTGAGGAGAGTTGACAGGCTTGAGAATTTGAGCTTGTAAAAGTTTACAGATGATAGGTTTAAGGCCCCAGAGGCTGGCTGGGTTAAGGGAATATTGAGACTGATGAAAAAAATGGAAGGGTTTTGGAGGGTTATTTTGACTGGGATGTGATGTGTGGCTATTGTGGGTTTAGAAACATTTTACACTTCAGGGTTAACAGAAGCTAACAGGGCAGATAATGAGGATGAGGGGGAGGAGAGGGAAGCATCTGCGTGGCAGAGTAAAATAAAAAAGGTAGAATTGCAGGAGGCAAATTGTCTGGAGGCCTGGAACTTACTTAGTAGGTCTCACCCCCAAGATAGGGGAAGGGCACTGAGGGATAACCAGGAAGGAGTGGGTGAAGAGGGTGTTGAATAGGTTGCATTATAGAGGACCAGTCTGTTTGTGCCTAGAGGGGATTCCATTGACTCCCACAATAGAGATAGAAGAACTGAGGAGGGGTACAGAATATTCTGGTAAAACTGAGTAACTAGCCCCCATATCCAATAGGAAAGACATGGGCTTACTAGTGACTGACAGCGTTACCTTGGGTTCCGTGGTGGTGATGGCAGTGGGGACAGTGGGGACAGTGGATTCCGGGCCCCAGCATTCTTCAGTTATAGGTGATGAAGTGGGATGATGAGTTTTGCAGAGCACAGTCCGACTTCCAGTGTTCGTTGATGCCATGGATGGGGTAAGGTTTTGAGAGTGGCCTGGGATTAGAGCAGGCTTTTGCCCAGTGACCCTGTTGGCTGCACTTCAAACAGGTTTCCGGCAGAGTTTGTTGTAAGGTTGAGGATTTCTGTATGCATTGGGAACCCTGTTATTTGGCAGCTGCCAGCGTTTGGTATTTAGCCCGGTCTGTTTTAAGCTTTTGGGTTTTCAGTTTTTCCTCTCTATTGTTAAAGACCTTAAAGGTCACTTTGATTAAGTCTCTTTGGGAGATTTGAGGGCCATCCTCCAGTTATATATTTATTTATTTATTTGATGTTTGGGGCTTACTGGGAAATGAAGTGAAAATGGAGATAGATTCTGCCCTTATTGGTATTAGGGCATAAAGTGGTAGATTTAGTTACGGCCTCTGAAAGGTGGGAAAGGAAAAGAGCAGGAATGGCTTTATTTATGCCAACTAAGAGGCATAATATGGCTAGAGATATCATATGGTCTTGTTTCTGTCTGCCTGCAAAATTTGCTTGATAATCCCAACTGGGATCAGTTCTGGGGGCACCTAGGGTCCTTACTGGGTTATGGGCAGCATCTTGTTGGTGGAAGGTGTTTGCATGGACCTGGGAGGACATCCAGATGTGTTCCCTGTTTTCCGGGGTGAGGATGGAGGAGAGGATGACATATATGTCATGCCAGGTAAGGTTATAAGATTGAGTGAAATGCAGAACTTCTTTGCGGTAAGAGGTGGGATCCGTGGAAAAGGAGCCTAGTCTCTTTTCAAGCTGAGAGAGGTTGGCTAGGGAGAAGGGAACATGATTTCAGATTATGCTTTCCTCCCTGTCACCTCTTATAAAGGGAAGACTTTGGAGGGCCTTTGAGCATGTGCCTGGTTTTTGTCGGAAGGGGGTTGGGCATGAGACACGGTTTGTTGGCCGGGTTGAAATTAGAGGAGGAAGGCATGTCCAGGGGAGGAGGCATTTTTGTGGGTTTTTTGCTGAAGAGGAGGATTTGAAAAGGTTAACAGAATTAGCAGAGATAGAGAGCCACGAACAGAGATAAGCAAAGCACTTTGGATCATTTACCATTGCATTGGAAGTTTTTTAGATTTTGTTGAATTTAGAAATAAATGTTTTGATTTTTGGCCATTGATTATTATTGTCCAATTTACATTGGGGCTAGGCAACATTACAGAGGAAAAGTACAGAGGAAAGCAAGGCATTTGGTTTTAAGGAGTCCACTAAGCTCTGGGCTTGGAGAATTCAGATGAGACATGTAAGAGGAGTAAATAAGGTGTTCAGTTTTAATGGAGTCCTCTAAGCCCTGGGCCTGGAGGTTCCAGATGAGACATTCGAGAGTGGTGTCTCCAGGTGGTTTTAAAGAGCCTTGCCCCATACTGGTGACTGGAAGGGTGAGAAATTTAGAGGAGGGGAGTGAGTACCCCATTCCTCCCTGGATAAGGGACATAGGAGAGCCAGGGCATCCCTGCAGATCTTTGCTGTCCCCTGGAGGCCAGAGTGGCCAGAGCAGCTGGAGTGGCAAGCTTTCTGAGGGCGTCCCCTGAGAAGGTGGGCTGCGGTCACCTGGTGACCAGGGAGACCTCTCACCTAGCGCTGGGATTTTCTGGAACCAGAAGAAACAGAGAGGAATTCAGAAAAGAGGAAAGGGAAACTCATCCACTAATTGGAGACCAGTGTTGGATGTGATGTCCAACAATGGGATCAATCCTTGCTGGAGCTGCTTGGAAAGAGGAAGAAAGAAAAAGAGGACGGAGAGTTTGACCAGGGTCTGGAGGTTAGCCCAGGGCCAGAGAAGAAGAGAGAATAAGGCGAATGGGGCTGGGAACAGGGAGTCCACTCTGGATCAGGAAGCAGGCCCGGGTCTAGTTTTTGCTGTTTGCTACTTTCCAGGTTACAAGAGAAGACTTACACCTTAGAACTCAATCCTCATACCTGGTTTCAGCACCAAAATGTTAGGTTTTGAAGGGAAGGTGAGGGTTAAAGAAAGACACACACACAAAAAGAGCTTCACAGCAAATGCAGGCTTTATGTCCAGGATAAAACCTACAGAAGTGGGGGACCAGCCTATGTCAGTGCCCGCTGCTGCTTACAGGCTGGGGTAATTTCTAGGTATGGGTAGGAGGGGTCTGAGCAATATGGCTTGCTGCCTGGAAGGATATTGATAAGATGTCCCCATGATGAGGTGGTTCTGGCCCTTGTTCCGGCAGAACGTGGTACTCCTTGTACTTTCTCCCAGCAGAATATGATAAGAGGCAGGCTCTTTCTTCAGTTGGGCCTTTGTCCACCTTGTGGTCAGGTGGTTTATCAAGGCCCGAACCCCCATGAATTGTTTCACTTTGACCAAGGTCTGCAAAATAGCAGGGAGCTTACAAAATGGTGCAGTTAGGACTAACATTGGGCATATATCCAAAGGACATAAAATCAGTATGTCAAAGAGATATCTGTACTCCTATGTTCCTTGGAACATTATTCTCAATAGCCAAGACATGGAAACAACCTAAGTGTGCATCAATTGATGAATAAATAAAGAAAATGTGGCACACACACATACTTACATTATTATCATATATGTTATTATATAACAACATATTAGCTACAGTCACCATGCTGTAAAATAGATCCTCAGAACCTATTCATCTTACAACTGAAAGTTTGTGCACTTTGATCAATATCCCCTCATTTTCTCCACACCATATATATAGAATATTATTCAGCCATAAAAAAGAATAAAATCCTGTCCTTTGTGACAACATGGATGAACCTGGAGGGCATAATGCTAGTGAAATAAGCCAGCCACAGAAAGCAAATACTGCATGATGTCAGTTATAAGTAGAATCTTACCAACTCAAACTCATAAAAATAGACAGTACAAGGGTAGTTACTGGGGGTTGGGAGGTGGGGGAAATGGGGAGACGTTGATCAAATTGCACAAACTTTCAGTTATAGGATGATTAAGTTCTAAGGATTTATTATACAACATGTTGATTACAGTTGGTAATAATGTACTGTATACTAGAAATTTGCTAAGAGATAAGTATTTTCACCACACACACAAAAGGCATCTATGTGAATTAATGGGTATATTAATTAGCTTGATTATAGCAATCAATTCACAATGTATTGTGAATATCAAAACATCAAGTTGCACACCTTAAATATACACAAATTTTATTTGTCAATTACACCTCAATTAAGGTGGAGAAAAATAAAAATAAAGGGCTAAATCTTTTGGAAAAAGTATCTGAATCCTCTGGTTGCCTACAATTTTTTCAAAGTTGTCGTCTTTTGGTTTTAAAAGAACCCCTGATTTGCTAAGCTTGATAAACATGATTCCAGATGTCAAATTAGTTTTTATTTGCTCAGGAATTGGTACTTTTCTTTGGAGAAATAAATGTGAAAGAGACTTCTATAATTAGATATCACTTAAATTAATGTTATTTTAATCTATCTTGGACAAATCTTTCTTTATTGAAAAAGGAAAATTTGTTATAGCACAACAAAGTGGCTCCCAAATACTCTTAGTGATGAAAGCTTTACTGGGGCAAAATGAGAAAAATAACACTGATACTTAAAAGGACACACATTTTTAGGTTAACTAGCTTTAGCTTGAATCCTGGGTCCATCACTTTTCAGTGGTATAGTATCACCTAATGCCTAGTAATAGCATAATCAATGTTGATAATTATATGTACATAATTACATATATTATATATATATATATATATATAAAATCACCATTGTGATTTTTGTTGGTTATTGCTATTCTAGGAAAAATTTTGTGTACAAATGTTAAGAGTGCAGGCTCTGTACTCTGTCTGGCTTTGAGTACCAATTCTGCCACATGTAAGCTTTGTGATGTTGAGGAAGACACTCAATGTCCTTGAGCCTCTGTTTCCTTTTCCATAAAATGTTGATAGTAATCATCAGACTTCATACAGTAATAGTAAGATTTAAATGAAATAACGAACATGAAAATTTTAACTTAGTTCCCAGTACATTATAAATATTCAATATTAACTATTATTTCCTGGGGAAAACATTATATTTATCCTAGTCTTGGGTTCTTCTTACATTTGTGGTGGTCATTCTTTTTGTCAAATCTGGAAATGTTATATGATGAAATTAAAATCTAAATCTGAACCCAGGAAAAACTATATATATATATATATATACACATATAGTATATATATATATATATACTATAGTATATATATATATATACATATAGTATATATATATATACATATAGTATATATATATATACATATAGTATATATATATATACATATAGTATATATATACATATAGTATATATATATATACATATAGTATATATATATATACATATAGTATATATATATACATATAGTATATATATATACATATAGTATATATATATACATATAGTATATATATATACATATAGTATATATATACATATAGTATATATATAAATATACACACACACACACATATATATACACACATATAAATACACGCACATATATATACATATATACACATACATACACGCACATATATATACATATATACACATATATACACACACATATATACATATATACACATATATACATATATACACATATATACATATATATATACACATATATACATATATACACATATATATACACATATATACACATATATACACATATATATACATATATATACATATATATACATATATATACATATATACACATATATACATATATATACATATATACATATATACACATATACATACATATATATACATATATACATATATATACATATATATACATATATATACATATATACATATATACATATATATATACATATATATACATATATATGCATATATATACATATATATACATATATATATACATATATATACATATATATATACATATATATACATATATATATACATATATATATATGACATAACCTGAATTAAATGAGAGCGTGAAATAGAAAAGCTGAGGTATAGAAAGGCCAAAAGTTCAGGAGGAAATTGTCATTGAAGAGATAGTTTATTACTCACAGTTCTCAAAGGGAGGGGACAAGCTATGGAAGTGAGGGGCACAGGACAGCACTGGAGTTGGTCAGGAGGCAGAGGGAGAAAGACTGTGAGAAGAGCCTTTTTGTGATTTGTGTGGGAAATGACAGATGACGCATGGTAAGCAGGCTGAGGACTGGCCCGTTTGAATACTTTCAGCAGGCTCTGGGGCATAGGGACTGTCTCTATTGGTCTGGTGCCTGGCCATGGGGGTGCTTAGGGCAGGTGAACAGTGGTCTCGAGTATAAGAGCCTGATGAAAGAGATGGTTGGGATTGTGGGCTCTGGATTGGTTGGTTTGTATTTAAAAAGCACAAACCTGAGAAGCAAACTGTTACTAAGGAGAGTCAACAAGGAAGACGGGGAGCCAGGGCAAGATGACATGAGCATATTATTTGGTTGCTCAGAACAAGGTATGCCTGGCATACGCATATAGGGCAGATGTTTAGCTTCAAATTTGTGAAATATGGAAATGCGGCTAATACACTCCCCCTACCCCAAACTCGTAATGCTATTTCTTATTTGGTTGTTGGGTTGGTTTGATCACTGAAACCCAAGTATGAAATCAACCGCAAGTGGCATCCTGCCATTTACTGGGTTGTTCTTAAAAATCATACACATTTTAAGGTACATATTTATTTATTTGTTAAATGATTGTTGAATGCCTACTTATTTCGCCTGTATTTTTATTTGTTTTCTCACTAAGTTTGAATGACAAGAAAAATTCAATTCTGAGAGAGTATTAGTCTTTACTTCTCTTTTGTCCTTCTTGTTGCCAAACACCTTTAACAACAATTATAATGAAAGGCTTAATAAAATAGAATAAACCTTATGAGAAAAAGTATAACATAAAATAAGAAAAATAAATACCTCTCTTGTAACTGAAATATTTAATGGAAAAATTTCTATTTAAGAAAAAAATGCAGGGAATGTTCGGACATATAAGATTTAAATATAAGGTTTAAATAACAACTTCTAAACCTTACAAATAATCACAAAACCATTAATAAAAATCAGTCTAATCATAATATATTATTAAAGGGAACTTGAGGTAGTACCACACATTTGTAGTTGAGAACCAAAACACATATAGCTTACCGTCCACATTAATATGTCTATATTTTTAGGCTGGTTTCACTAACATTACTTTACTATTTTAACTTTTTCCCAGGAAGAGAAGAGTTGTAAATAACTTTATTGTTACTTTCAAGAACTTTCCCCAAACTCACTGGAAACGGCTCAGTTTTTCAATGGATAACATCAAATAATAGTACCCTCTTTCAATCTCTGAGATGAAAATTCTCATCTTACAGTGTCTCCTAACTCATAACTATTACATAATCATTACCTAATCCTAATCAAGCCCTCACATTGAAGAAATCATCTTAAACCAAACCCTAAAACCTCATAAATATTATGACACTGTCCCTCCCACTTCAGACACTCCTAACAAACACTGTAGCCCCAATATCTTTATTCCTAGGTCTGGTTATCTGAGACCCTTTTCAGGCATTTTTTCCAATGCCTCCCAATGGGGGGAATGAGAGATAAGAACTACAGGACTATTGTCACATAACAACTCCATCCAAATCCCTGCACTAAGAGACTTGACCAAATTCTGCTATGGCATCTAACAGCCTAAGGCTGTGTCCCTAAGTTTATCCCAGCCCCCTATTTATATGCCTGCCTGGGAAAACTTAAGGCTACAAAGGAAATTTATTATTTGTTCTAGTCAGCACCTGATGATAGACCCTGGACCTCCCTTTCTTAGAGCATTTTCTAAAAAGGGCTTACAATTGTGAACATGTATTTCTTGCAACTCAGAATGATCTTTCTCAAGGACACAAGAGCCATTCCATTGAAATGTAATCAACAAGAAGGATAAGGCCTCTCTCCTAGTCTCTGTGAGAGTATAGCATCCTAACTTCCATAACTTCCAGCAAGCAGACACAGCTGGCCTAATCATGTTTACATTAACCAACCCTTCGTACATTTTCGCTTTTTTGACTCTACTGAGTGCCCAGAGTCCCTCCTCCTTCACGCTCCCTTGAAAATGTTCAGGCATGTTTCCACAAATGGGAATGGAGCTCAGTTCTTTCCCCTACAGTCAGTAATTACTGAATAAAACCTGTTTTTATCCAATGTTTGTCTATGTTTAATTTTGACAGGGGGAAACTTTGAAGAGACTTCTCTCCACTCTGACTTAGTCCCAGTATGTTTACACTCTTAACCCTTCTCCTTCTGCTTGCCTCTGGCCCTGGGTTCATAAAACTGCAGGGGCTTTCTGTTTCGGGCTCCCTCAGCAGGGAGAGGACCCCTTTATCTTTGCTGAGCCTCAACCAGTGCAACTGTCCATAAGAGAAATCCAAGTTTCTCCAGTTTCCTCTCTTGTCTGTACATTGCAGTAAGTGATCAAGCATAAACTGTTTCATTATTGACTTGCTTTAATTGTCTACTCCACTGCCTGATAGCTTAGCTCATTCCTGGCTCACCTGAGCTTCTGAAGATGTTAATTGTAATTTTTCATTCTTTGAAAAACTAGTAATATGGCCGTATTTGTTGCCATATAACAAACATTCGTATATATCTCCTTTTATGTATGTATGAAATTCTGCACTGTATGTCACTGAGAGTAGAAATAGTTGTAAATTATATGCAATTTTAATCCCCCTGATAGTTCTCAATTTCATATCAAGAGTGTTGTTCTAATCACACTTCCAGCAACTGTGAGTGAAAGTTTCTAATTCTCCATATTGTCATTAACTCTAAGTATGATCCATTTTTTAATATTTTTGTCAGTTTGATGGTTGTGAAATTGTAAATAATTTTGTATTAATCTGCATTTACCTAATTATTGGTAATTTTGAGCATGCTCATGTTTCTGGTCCATTTTGATTTCCTCTTCTATGAAGTGCTTGGTCATATATTTGACAATTTTTGTTTGAGGTTTCTTTTTATTGATATCTTGAAGTTCGTTAATATGTTTGCTAATATTATTTTCTGGTATACATTTCAAATATCTTATTCCAGATTGTGGTTCATATCTGCTTATCCTACATTTTGCCATTCAGAATTTATCAGCACTTTATGACTTGTGTTTTTTGTGTTTAAGTTAATCTTTTTCTACCCTGAGGTAAAAAAGTATTTTTTCTAAGACTTAAAAAGTCTTTTTATGATTTGCTTTTAAATCTATGGAAATTTATGTCTGTGAATTTTGTGATGAAGAAAGCTTTGGATTTTTTATCATGAGATTATTAGTTATTGTGATGGTTAACACTGAGTGTCAACTTGATTAGATTGAAGGATGCAAAGGATTGTTCCTGGGTATGTCTGTGAGGGTGTTGCCAAAGGAGACTAACATTTGAGTCAGTGTACTGGGAGAGGCAGACACACCCTCAGTCTGGGTGGGCACCATCTAATCAGCTGCCAGTGCAGCTAGGATAAAAGGAGGCAGAGGAATGTAGAAGGACCAGACTGGCTCAGTCTTCCTACCTTCATCTTCCTCCCATGTTGGATGCTTCCTGCGCTCAAATGTAGGACTCCAAGTTCTTCAGCTTTTTGATTCTTGGGCTTACACCAGTGGTTTTCCAGGGGCTCTCGGACCTTTAGCCATGGACTGAAGGCTGCACTGTCAGATTCCCTACTTTTGAAATTTTGGGACCCGGATTGGCTTCCTTGCTCCTTAGCTTGCAGATGGCTTATCGTGGGACTTCATCTTGTGATAGACTCACACTATATTAAATAATGAATACTTTTCTACTGATACGTAATAACATCTCTTTCATATAATTTATTTGCTTTTCCTCTGTGTTCCTCACAAGCGAAACTGAAAACATTCTCCAGTAATTATCAGAGTGCCTGGCACATAGTAGACAATACATGTTCAAGGAATGTATCAGTAAGGACTTTTGAGAAGGCTAATGCCCTATCTGGATGGAATTTGGGGTAGCAACTATTAGAAAAAGATATTTTTTCTTTCATTGTGTCACATGGTTCCTCTGATTATTTTTCTCACTGATTGAGAGTTGATTAGTTATTAAGTCAACACCTAGAATAAGACTGATTCTTAACTACTACCAAATATTAACCTTCTGTTTCAATGGACCCATTCCACTTAATTTGTATCCAATATAATATATTTATTTCAACCTGCTGGTCTTTGCTTTACCTCATTTAGCAGACGTTTCTTCTTTTTGTCTAGTGATACAAATATAGTTACGTCAAAACCTATTTTATTTTTTATATTTCTAGAAGCCCATCTTGTCTATTCCAGGTGCCGATAATTTTTTACTTCTCCCACCCACCATACCCACTAAAGTGCTTAATATTGAGGAGGTTTTTGTGATATCTTGGCCTTTCTTGGTCTCTATGTCTTATGCTTGCCATGCAGATTATCTATCAATTATATTCAGATTTCCAACTAAGGTAGTTTAAAAAGTTAGAGAATGTTATACTTGAAAAAAAACTTAGATTTTATGATGTCCAGTTTATAGATAAGAAAACTAGGCCTGAAAGAAGTGAAGGGATTTTCCCAAGGCCATAGAGCTAGCGAGTGGCTAGCAAGTGGTAGGGTTTGTATTTGGACAATAATGTATTGAATTTCATATCATGTCTCTTCCCTGTTTCACCATTCTTAGGTTTATTTGTCATGTTGATATTGAGCTGGAGATTGTAACACAGTGGTGTCAAGCTGAGATGTGAACTAAATTTTATATCCTCAACCTGGTAGGGGATGGAGAAGTCATTATTTTGAGCTAGATATTTGCTGCAACTCTGTTATGGGAATGAGAAAGGAAGACGTGCAAGGTTACCATCATCCAAAAAGCTTCACATCTCAAAGACATATGAAGAAAGAATGCTAGAGAGTAGAAAAATACAGATGTTCATAGGTTCGTGGATTTGATGGTGAGAGAATAAAGGTGTTTCTTATTGCTATAGTAACCTTGTGCATAGAGTTCTGAGAAGGCCAAGAATCTGAGGACTCAAGTAAGCCAAAGCGTCCAACCAACTGCCTGAGTCTGGCCCAGAGCATAGGTAAATCCTATTTTTGGAAGCTTCTTTAGATGGTTTTGGTAAGCATTCTACTCATGCTATGACTGGCTGGGCATAGCAAGAGTGTAAAGAAAATGGAGAGCTGACATTGCTTCCTCATCTCACTGTTTTTATCTTTAGGTGTATTACAGCTTCCCTGTGGTCTTTCTTTGCAAAGAATAGCTGTTTAGATTTTCTGGCCCAAATCCATGCTTTACATTGACCAACTGTCCTGTCATTACGTAGTCATGTTATCCTTCCAATTTCATGAATGATTTATTAAAGATAGATTGTGAGGATGTTTTTGTATACTATAGTATAACGTGTACTTGAAAACATGGATATATTTAGTGAAAAAATAGACCTATTACATAGTCTAACTCTGATTAATATATATTCTGTAACTTACAATAAATGCAAATATATTGTTTGTCCATAATATGATATTATTAAAGCTATCATCAAATCTATCTTGATACTACATTACTTTTAAAGTGAACATACAAGGTTAATTATATCTTATATTCCATGGGAGTATGAAGCACATTGGGAGGTAATTTGTATATTACAGAATTTATTAACAACAATAGATTTAACAGCTACTAGGTCAATGTAAGACATTTATTTGGGTGGAAATACGTTACTTAAATTCGGAAGATTTATAAATCAGTGAACTTTGCTTGGGTGTCTGCTCCCTGACCTTAAAATAGCTCCATTAAGGTTGTTATAATGAACTCATTATTTATATTTTCTTCTAGTCCACATTCGGAAAAGTTTTTAGTAGGTGTAATAATCTGTTTAACACACTCAGATTTTGTAGTGAATATAGACGATCCCAAAGAGAAAGATGCTAGTTCTGAGTGAGGAGGTAAATTGCACAATAAGCTACAACACTGCAAAAGGGATCCCCAACCCTCTTTAAAAGGCCATTTCACATCATTAGTGCATAATTAAGTGAATCAAGGAGGTTTAGTAATAAATGTATTTACTTTCAATTATCTTCAGGAAAACCTGTCCAAATGATCGTTTCCAAGCCCAGAGACTTCAGACAGAGCCTGTGAATTGTGCCTGCTGTTGTGAATCACAGGAATGCCTCAGTGAACTCATCTAGCCCTCTGTATTATATGTTAAACATGTAAGAGGGATATAGAAAAGGATACTATACATAGCCTAATATCCTGACAGTGTGTATCCCTGGGGCTCTTCCTCTTATTCAGAAAACACTCCAGGAATCAGTGATGGATGAAAAAATGAGGACACTAAGAAACAGGTCAAAGGTGACAACTGAATAAAAGTTGCTACAGGCTTTAACCTTAAAGTACTGAAGAAAAAAAATTCTGCTGAGATTTGGTAGCAATACATATAACAGAAGGCTGAAGTCCAAAAATCTCTAAGGTATTTGGAGATATAGAAAGGCCAGATTAGAGGTCTTATCTTTTCCTTCCTTCAGAGTCAATTCTTTGTTAACTCTACAGTGTCTAGTACTAACATTTGTGGTAAAAATCTTTGACCGACTAATTGAAACATGTTATAGGAGATTGCAGCAAAGCACAAACCTAAATGCACATTGTCTTTTCCAAAAAGCTATTCTAAAAATCTAACTGTGGCTCTAGTTTGAATACATTCAAAGCCTACATCTGAGCTCCTTCTCTGGAATTAACCCAGGTGTTTTAGTCTCAGCCTCATCTAGAGCTTTTTTAAAGCAGATAATAGGAAGAGAGACAAAAGAGAAATCTGTTTAAACGGAGAAAGATACTCAGAATAAAATATGTATTTGGTCTGTGTCTGTTTCTGTTTCTGTTTGCTTTTACTGTCTTTCTCAGCATTCTTCCTGTAGAGCCCTCAACCCAGAAATCCAGTATTCTTGTGCTGACCTCTAAGTTTGCAGAGGCCACATTTCACTCTTCGCAGACCTACCTTCCCACAGCAGTCCATTTAAGTTTCACTTGTATTTTCTTCTTAGCTATCCAAACTTGCCTTTGTGAAAATACGGCAGGACTAAAAGTTTTTCATGGAGTTCCAAGTGTCTTCCCCATCCCTCTTGTCAAATCCAATTGACCAACTCATGGCTTCTAAAACTAAAAGCCTAGTCTCATTGTTCCTCCTGCCTGTGCTATTATTACTATAGCCTCAGTTTTCCCATACTTTCCATGAATTTGGTCAATGACCAATTCTCAAATTTAAACTCAACTCTAACCTTTTTTGATCAAGTTTATGAATTTTTAATGATCTTGCTCCACCCAGAACAGTCATCTTGAGCTGTCGTCAATTCAAAAGGTTTCAATGACGGCTTGAGCTAATGGCTTTTCTTTGGTTTTTCTTTTTTACCACTTGTCTTGATCCTCTTTTCCTCAGGACATGGTTCTTTGTTGAATATTGTGATTTGATAAATCAATCTAGGTTGTAGGTTTATGATTGTCAATGAATAAATGTACTCTCTCATTGAAGTAACACAAATATGTGTCAATAGGTACCTGTAAGTAACTTAGAAATTTACTCCAAAAGAGAATATGATAATCTTAATTTATCAGACTAAATAGGAGAGGTAATTGAAGGCAAAGAATGGTCCATATTCAAAAATCATTAATGCCACCACTGTACCAGGTTTCTGAGTACCTATGCATTTATTCTAACAACCTAGCATCTATTTCAGTCTGCAATGAGAGATTCCATCTAAGAAAGTATAGCATTAAAAATCTAGAGCAGAGAAAAGGAAGTCATGTCTTCACTGGGGCACCCTTGTCTCTCATTCTCAACTCTGAAGTATCTGCAATATTTTTTTTTCCTCAAGGGAGTATCATCACATATATAAGATTTAAAATACCTCACCACAGGTTTCTAATTTCATTTAAGACAAACATGGCATCAGGACTCATAATCAAGTCTGTTTACGAAGCATGTGCATTTAGTGTTCAATTTATCATGTCTTAAAATGGGCTACTATAAAATATTCCTTCTATATGGGCATATTTAAAAAAATTGACTCATTAACAATTGGAAAGTTGTCTTTGTGTAATTTTATTATTTATATCATTAAGGTCCTCTTTTTGTATTTAATTTGTTTGTTTTTTTGTCTGTTTTCTTAGAGACAGGGTCTTGCTCCATCACCCAGGCTGGAGTTCAGTGGCATATTCACAGCTCGCTGCAGCTTTCACCTTCCAGGTTCAAGTTGTCTTCCCACCTCAGCCTCCCAAGTAGCTGGGACCACAGGTATGCACCACCATGCCATGCTATTTTTTTTTAAATTTTTGTAGAGATGAGGTCTTACTATGTTTCCCAGGCTGGTTTCAAACTCTTGGGTTCAAGCGATTCTCCTTCCTTGGCCTCCCAAATTGCTGAGATTACAGGTGTAAGCCACTGCACTCAGCCTTCTATTCCCTTTTATTTCAGCTGTTAAAATTATGTTTGACAGAGCAGGAGCATTGCCATCTTGTACAAGCACCACCATTTTAAAGTTCCCCTTGATCAAAAACTGCCTAAATCCAAAGGGCATCAGCCTAATAGCTGAGGTCAGCATGACCATAAACCACAAATTACATCTCCAACCAGAAACATTCCAACCCTAAGATAACCTCCCCCCAACCAGAGAGGACACCCTCCTGTTTGGGTGAGGCTCATAATGAGGCCCCCTCACCATTACAGGAGGAAATCTCTTCACTGCTGGCACTGACAATGGAAGACTGAGGGTGCCCGGGATCCTTCACCCCCACATCCAGTGAGTCCACGGAACCCAGGGTAACTGGGATGGTATCTGGTAAGATTATTTCCTTCTTTTTGGATACTGGGGCGAGTCTATCAGTATTAACTGAAAATCAAGGCCCATTAGGACATTCATCTGTTTCTGTTGTTGGCATGAAGGACATACAAGTAACCCCATACAAAACACCACCACTATACTGCTCATTTGAGGTAGTCACCTTCACTCACTCTTTCTTGGTCATTCCCCATTGTCCCACTCCTTTACTAAGAAGGAACATCCTACACAAACTAGGGGGAATAATTTATTTATTAGCCCTACATCAAAGCCACCCTTACTTATTATTATGTCAAGAACAAAACCCCTCCTCAGACACTCCACATCAAATAGACTTAAATCCCAAATTCCTCAGCCAGGTAAATCCCATAGTATGGAACACTGCATTAGCATTGCATAGTATGGAACATTGCAATAGCAATGATAGCTATTGCCAGTGGAATGTGTAAACATCTATACCCACTACATTAACTAGTTTGAAAATATTCCTTGACGTCATTCCTTAAAACATCTTTAATAACTAGTTCTTTGATTAAGAACTCTTATTTTCAAATTAATGTTTTATTGAATTACACTTTTTCTCACTAAACAAATTTTAGTATGTGATGGGTTTTTAATGGCCAGAAAACACATTCATTGTTCACTTTTATCCTGTGATCAAACTATATGCCAGTGATAAAATACTGATTTATAATTTAAACTTCTCTTGAGGGAGGCAAATGTCAGTTCCTACCTTGGTTTATCATAACACTATCTCTGTTGCCTTATAAACAATTCAGAAATTAAAATATGCTTGTATTTTGGGTAGAGAAGGACAGGATAAATCAAATACTATGTAACAATTGACCTTGTATAGACTCTATTTCAAAAGATACTTTACCAGCTTGAGCAACATAGTGAGACACAGTCTTTACAATTTTTTTAATTATTAGCTGGGCATAGTGTGACACATGTTTGTACTGCCAACTACTCAGGAGACTGAACAGAAGGATCATTTGATTGCCATTATTACAACACTGCACTCCAGCATGGGTGAAAGAGAGACACCCTATCTCAAAAAATATATAAAACAACAATAAAAGATACTTTAATACCTAGGATGAATTTTTTTTTGTGGTGGAAAATCTAATGACATTGTTCATCAAATTAACTATAAGATAAATGACATAATTAATAATTTTTGTCATGATATATTTTAAGAAACATTTTTCATATCAAATGAATATGAATATATTCATATCAAAATGAGAAAAAAATTGCTGTCATTTTCTAAAATCACTCTGAGAATAGTAAAATTAACTAGATCCATGTTGAAATGAGAACACTATAGATAAATAATATTTGTAAAGTACTCCAAGAATTTTAATCTCTTTAATATATTTGTCTCTCAAGTTTATTGAAAAAAGTTTGAAAATTCAAAGTTCAAACAGCAATGCCTTTTATTGTGGTAACATTTTGGCTAAAATACATCTTTGTAATATATACATATTGCACTTTTCAGTGATTTCTGGGTTATATTTTTTTTGATAAAGGTCATATAAAATGTCAGGAAATGTTTGATTTTTAGTGAAAAATTATCTTGAAAACTATTATTTGCTGTTTCATTTCAAAGAAACAAGAATGAAGAGGAAAGAGATATTTCATAACAAAAGTGTTGGGGTTCTTTAACTCAAAAATATTATTCATTTTATGAAATATTTCACAAGTTAGAATGCACTGTGAATTGGGAATGTTATATAATACGTTTGTTAATTATTAATCTTGATTTCTAATTGCCAAATTTTTCAAATTGATGATGTCTTGCAACTAGGCACACCAAGACACATTTGGGAGAGTAACTTTATGAAACACTTTCTAAATTAGTGATGATAATTTAAAAATTAGGTTATTACTAGGTATATAAATTCACAGGGAATTATGATTTTTATGCTACATATATTTTAAAACACTCTTATTACTGTAGGCCTGGCTACATTAGGGTAATTACACAAAGCTTCAAGAAGGGGGAAATTTCCTTAAAATCTTAAACCATTGTATAATATATGTATAATTATAATACCAATAATCCCAATTCTTAATGCATTATACACCCATAGTTAATGGACTATGCAAAGAAATATTACTGACCACAAAGCTCACAAATTCTTCCACCTCTCTCCATGTCTACTACCAACACAAACTAAGCCTTTTTCTTACTAGGGTTATAGCAATAGACTTGTGCCTGGTTTTCCTATGTTCAGCCTAGTTGAAGCTCATTAATTTGTTGCTTTAATTATTTGATTAATACCAGTCACTGCCTTTAACCTACAAGTTCCCTGAGAGCAGGAATCAAACTGTTTTTGCTCAACATTGTATCTTAGTGTCTGGCACGTGGTAAACACTCAATAAATATTTGCTTGATAAATGAAACAAAGTGTAAAATAAATAAAATAGAAGAATACAGCATAAAACATTCATAATGTGTTTTTTTGGAGAATGACAAACAGGACAAAAGTTAATATCATCACAAAATAGTCTAGATACAATAATTTTCAGAGCTTGATACGAATTAATAACTCAATCATGTTATAACTAATTATACTTGAGCTTATTATCCTCAATTTCCTTTTTTGGTGTCAAAATCAAGTCATATTGATATTTTATTTCAATATGCTTTTCTAAATTTTGAAAATAAATTAACAATGATATTTCATTTTTTATAAGAATAAAAGTTTTTATCTTATAAATTAAGTTTTCTTAACAATTTACTGTATATTTACCATTTGTGAATTTTCTGTTGAAATTTATTGGTACTTTCATCCTGTTTCACTCTTTGGGGAAAATCAGTTAGTCTATTCATGACAAATTATTGCCAGCAATTTCATCCTTCTCATTTGTCTTAAAATTAGTTACTTCAGAATAGGAGTCTCTGCCACCCAGGATCAAGTGATTTTCTCACCTCAGCCTTCAAAGTAGCTAGGACTAGGGGCATGCGCCACCACACCTGGCTAATTTTTTGTATTTATTCATAGAGATGGGGTTTCACTATGTTGCCCAGGCGGTTCTCAAACTCCTGGGCTCATGCGATCTGCCAGCCTTGGCCTCTCAAAATGCTAGGATTACTGGCATGAGCCACCGCACCAGCCAATATTTCATCCTTTTTTATTGCTCTTCTGGAAGGCTTTTCAGCTCTAATATGCTTATCTTATTGAGGAAACAAGAGTAAAAATGAAAAAGAATTATATACTATATTTTAGAAAGAGAGACACCACGGATTTTAGAAAGGGAAGCTTCTTTCTCTGTGTTTTGCTGTTGATGCTCCACCTTCCTTGCAGAAAACTAAACAGGACAAAAGTTAATATCATCACAAAATAGTCTAAATACAATAATTTCCAGAGCCCCGGGCTTAATACAAATTAATAACTCAGAGTCACTCATCTTATAACTATTATACTTGAGCTTATTTTCCCAAATTGCCTTTTTTTGGTGTGAAAATCAAGTCATGTAGATTAATTTCATGATCTATTTGAACAAAGATACTTATTTCATGACTGAATGATCTGACTTTGATATATTTGTCTTATTTTTTCAAAATATCTGGTTAGATCATGTTTTCTACTTTATATACTGCCTTTCTAGGCCAGACTGACGACAAATATCCTACATTAGACATGGAGGCAGTCTGAATTTCAATGAAAAAGTAATGAATGTTTTGCAACAAACCTGTACGTTACTGGGTATGTAGAAAGGTTAAGACCACTGAGACGTACACATCCATACCCTGGTTTATTATATGCAACTAAATTAAATTGTTTCAAAATTTTGCTAATGATTCTAACAATATAGTCCTTATGTTAATGTTGAAAACAATTGCATTTTTTATTTTTTGGTTGATCAATTTTGTGGCATAGTTTTGAATCCCAGACACCTTGCAGAGCAATACTTTGCTTTTCACTGTCCAAAGAGATACAAGTATAAAGTATACTTTCATCTTAATCAGAGGCAGTCATAGATTTTTTTTTTTAATATACAGTGTCAGATCAGGAAAAGAAGCTATCACTGATAGAATTTGTTTTAAACATCATAATTTTTAAAAAGTTATTTTCTATGACACATCATACTGTAACATTGAGATTCATAATACTCTGCCCTGATACGTTATTAAACGTGAGGATAAAAATAATTACTAAATCCTTCTTCATTACACATGTAGGATTTTTACTTCAGCCTAATTTCCACAGTAATTAGTTCATGTCTTTATTAAAGAGATTCTCTGGAAAAGTTCAAATTTAGCTGTGTCATAAGTAGCCAACTGGAGGACTTATCTTTCCGAAGAGAAGCAAGCCAATAAAATTATTCAAGATTATCAGCAGGCACAATTTCTAGATGTAAATTCCATCTCCAACCAAATCCTTCTGAGCACAATCTCAATGGCAACAATAAAGCAGGTCTCACTCCAGAGAATGTTACCCCTGTTGTATTTCAACGTTTAGACAGGGTCTTCTGTTTGTTTCTTTGATTTTATGGAAAGAGCTTTTCAACTTTTTAAACTTGTTTGTTTCTTTCAAATAGAAAAATACTAGGTTTTCAAAGGAAATTATACCAACCTAATTACTTTTAACAAATTCAAATTCTGATTGCGCATATAGATATATAATGTGCTTTGAAAAATTTTCTGTTCTGTTTTAGAAAGTACTAATATCAGAAATACATTTTAGTGTGCTATTTCTGAGACATTCGTTTTTTAAGAAATCAGTAAAAACATTGGATTATAATAGAAATGGCAAAATTTCCCCCATTCAGTTACATATACATGTAAAAATTTAAATCACCATGAAGCATTTATATCATCATTTTAAATAGATTTCCCTATATTATCAATACTTACATGCATCAGTTCATATTTAAAATGGCGCAAATATTCTGAATGGATAAAATTTCTTATAAAAGGCATTCATTCCCACAAGCTGCTGAGCAATTATATATAATAGTTTTATGTATAATTGTTTCTCTTACAGTTATCATGTAAATTGATCATCCTAATCACAATGCAAGTTTACATATGTGTTCGTTATTGTTATTATTTTATTGTATTTTATTTTGTTTTTCCAAGATGATAGCAAATTGGAGTCAGTGTTAGCAAGACTCTCCCACTTGGAAAGACAAAATAGTGTATAGTTATTCACACTGTGAACTCTATTTCCAAGAAGAAATGCAGAAACTTAACAGGAAAACTGAAATCCACCAATTCTCTGAAAGAAGCTGCATGCTGCAGCCTACATTGTGAGGCAGGCAAAAAACTGTTTTAAGTTCCCAGAATGTGAGAGGGAAAGAGAGTGCTTCAGGATATACCCTCCCACCAGGGAACCTGGAAATCCAGGCCTCAGGAAAAGCCTGAACGCTACACAGAGCTGGTACTGATTTAGGGAGCAGTGAGGAATGGGAAGAGCCTTGTGTGGGACCTTGTGGAAGTCACCCAATTAACTCAGGCAACATTTGCAAGTTGAAAGAAGCTCCTACCTGAATTTTGTGAAATAGCTATTTCCCAGGGAGGCTTCTGGTCTGGGGCAGTCTTAGTTCTGAATATAGACGTCCTGGAATTTAGCTCACTGCTGTTAGCAGAAATCTACAGGTGTGAGACCTACCTTGCCAAGTGCATGGGATCTGGGTGGGGCTTACTGATGTCTGCTGTGCCCCACTTCTTGCACAAACTATTCTGTGCAGTAGAGGCAGCTTTTCTCCACTCTGGTACATTACATCAGTGGTGAGGTAACTGTCCCTCAACTCCCACAGTGGCTGCAGATTGCCCTACATATGGAGAGTCAGAGCATGGATCTGTCTGACCCAGCCCACACCTGATTTTGCTCCTCTACCCACACTGATAGCCTAACACAAAAGACAGGAACTTTTGGGAGCTTTATGTCCCCACCCATCACCTGAGAAACCAGAGTACCTCCTTTGGGTAACATAAGGCAAACACAAATCTCATCACTACTACTGCAGCTGATGCTCCTTTGCAAGCACGACCTCCTAGCTGGAGGCCAACCAACACAGTCCATTACAGCACTTTCGGGTAGATAACACTGCACCCCGGAAGGAGAAAATTTGTACATGATATCAGCTATCACCATTGCCTGCACCAACATGACTAACCAGGAAGTCCTGATACTATCTACGTGATCAGTTTATTTATGCTACAACTGGCATTTGAGAAAGCCAACACACTAACACTATCCATAGCCAAAGAATCTCAACGAGTCTACATTACTCCCCTGCCGCCTGCATCAGAACTGGTGCTGGTACTTGATACTGGGAGACTTGAGGACAGGTCACATCTCTGAATCCCTTGCAGACATTTCCCAGCACCAGCCTAGAGTGTGGCAGACCCATTAGGCAGCTAGGCCCAGAAGAGCAACAACATTCACATTCTGGCTCTCAGGGACTCCTACTACTAGGGCAAGGGGTAGTACGTCACGTAAAGGGAACACTACGGGACAAAAGTATCTGGATAGCAGGCCTTCAGTCCCAGATTTTTCCACTTGTGGAATGTTTTTTTCAGCAGAGGCACAGTTGCAGTAATGGGCTCAGCAGGGAAAGTCTGCAGTTCTACTCCAACAGTCAGGAAGCCCTGGTGCTCATGAAGGGTCTTGGAGAAGAGGAAATATTTCCCCCCTTTTCCACTACTGAAGACATAGCTGGGGCTTTTCTCTCAGGAGAGTGGCATGGGTGCACATATAGACAGCTTTTCTGAAACACTTCAGGGTGATCCACATAGGAGGGGCACCCTCCAGGTGCAAGCTTGCAGGAGATGTAGAGTCACCATTCGTCTCTACTTGCAGCATCAACATTCCTGCATAATAAAAGAGATGCCTGTCTGATCTGAATACCCAGAACACTGGGTCAAGAGTATGTGTGGGAGGTGGATTGCTTTCCTGCTGTCCTGGCAGGGGAGTTGAGATGGCTCCAGTCCTTTCCTCTGATAAGAACTCAGTGTGACTCACTGAGAGCTCCCCCAGCCATCTCTGTCAAGGCTAGGACCCCTGCCCACCATTGGGTATTGCATTCACCAACCTGCTTTAGTCATAGACAGTTTTTAGCTAAAGACGCTTCCCATACTGGCCAGAAACCTGAGTGATTCAACCCAGTAAATAAAATACTGGGAAAAATAAATAAATAAATAAATAAATAAATAAATAAATAAATAAAGCAACAGCATTCACTGTAGTCTGGCTCAGTAAATAAATTACTTGGGAATATTCAACCCAGTAAATAAAATATTCAACCTAGTAAATAAAATACTGGGGAAAAATAAATAAATAAAAGTGCAAACCATAGGGAATGAGTTTCAAGAGATCTCTGCCATTCCAACTCTATAGGAGACTGAACTTCTCACACACCAAGCATGTTTCCACTACAACCAGCATCTGAGAAAGCAATCATATAAAGACTCTCTGTAACCATGGAACTCATATAAAACCGTCATCCTGAAAGCATCAAGAGCTTAATTATACTACAATAAACTATAAACATTAAAGTCATATGCTTAAGAGGAAAAAGGGCAATTTTGAAATAAACACAGTGAAATAAAAAATAAAATTAAGAAAAAATAGAAGAAATATTCTACCCAAATCAGAAGGAACCAGAAAAGTAATTCTGGTAATATGACAAAAGAGGATTCTATAACACCCTCCAAAAATCACACTAGCCCTCTGGCAATGGATTCAAATCAAGATGAAATATTTGAAATACCAGATAAAGAATCCCCAAAGGTTGATTATTAAGCTACTCAACAAGACACCATAGAAAGGTAAAAACCAACATAAAGAAAGTAAAACAAGCAAACAAAAAATAATTCAGGCGTGAATAACAAGATTTCTAAAGAGATTGATATCTTAAGGAATATCAATCAGAAGTTCTGGAAATGTATTCAGGGAATTAAAAAATACCGTGGAAAGAAGTTTCAACAATAGACTAGAACAAGTAGAAGAATGACTTTCAGAGCTTGAAGACAAGGCTTACAAATTAATGCAATCAGAGAAAAACAAAAGAAATAAGAATCAAAGGAAATAAACAAAGTCTCCATAATTACAGAATCGTCTAAAATGACCAAACCAAAGAATAATTGGCGTTCCTAAGGGAGAAGGGAAAGCTAAAAGTGTGAAAAACATTTTTGAGGTAATAATTCAGAAAATCTTCCATGGCCTTGCTGGAGACTGATATTCAAACAGAAGAAGCTCAAAGAACTCCTGGGAGATTTATTGCAAAAAGTCATCACCAAGGCATATATTCATTAAGCTATCTAAAATCAATATGAAAGAAAGAATTCCAAGAGCAGTAAAACAAAAGCATCAGGTAACCTATAAAGGAAAACCCATCATACTAACAGGAGACTTCTCAACAGAAACTTTATAAGCCAGAAGGAAATGGGGTCCTATCTTTAGCTTCCTTAAACAGAATAACTGTCAGCCAATAATCTTGTATCCAGCAAAACAAAGTTTCATAAATGAAGGAGAAATAAAATCATTTCCAGTCAAACAAATGCTGAGGAAATTTGTTACTATCAGGCCAGTAGTACAAGAAATGTTAAAAGAAGTCCAAAACCTTGAAACAAAACTTGATATGTACCAAAATAAAACCTCTTGAAAGCATAAAACTGAAAAAGCCTATAAAACAATAACAAAACAACAAAAAGCCAAGTATCTAGGTGATTAGTCTGATTTCATACTGCTATAAAGAACTGCCCAAGACTGGGCAATTTATAAGGGAAAGAAATTTAATTGACTCACAGTTCAGCACAGCTGGGGAAGCCATGGTAAACTTACAATCATGGCGAAGTTGAAGAGGGAGCAAGGCACCATCTTCACAAGGTGGTAGGAAGAAGAAGTGCTGAGTGAAGGGGGAAGGGCCCCTTATAAAACCATCAGATCTCATGGGAACTCACTATCATGAGAACAGCATGAGGGAAACTGCCCCAATGAGCCAATTACTTCCACCTGGTCTCTACCTTGACATTTGGGGATTATGGGGATTATAATTCAAAATGAGATTTGGGTGGGGACACAAAGCCTAACCATATAATTCTGCCCCTGGCCCCTCCCAAATCTCATGCCCTTTCATGTTTCAAAACCAATCATGCCTTCCCAAAGTCTTCATTAATTCCAGTAGTAACACAAAGTCCAAGACCAAAGTCTCATCTAAGATAAGGCAAGTCTCTTCTGTCTATGAGCCTGTAAAATCAAAAGAAAGTTAGTGACTTCCTAGTCACTAGGAAGTCTAAGTGGTACAGGCACTGGATAAATGCAGTCATTCCAAATGGGAGAAATTGGCCAAAACAAAGGGGCTACAGGCCCCATGGACCAAAATCCAGCAGGGGAGTCAAATATTAAAGCTCTGAAATGATCTTCTTTGACTCCATGTCTCATATCCAGGTTACACTGATGCAAGAGGTGGGCTCCCACCATCTTGGGCAGCCCTGACCCTGTGGCTTTGCAGAGTACAGCCCCCATCCCTGCTTCTCTTATGGGCTGGCATTGAGTGTCTGTGGCTTTTCCAGGCACATGGTGCAAGCTGTCGGTAGATCTACCATTCTGGGGTCCAGAGGATGGTGGCCCTCTTCTCACAGCTCCACTAAGCAGTGCCCTAGAGGGGACTCTGTGTGTGGGCTCTGGCCCCACATTTCCCTTCTACAATGCACTAGCAGAGTTTCTGCATGAGGACTCCACCTCTGCACCAGACTTCTTCCTGGACATCCAGGCATTTCCATACACACTCTGAAATCTAGGCAGTGGTTCCCTAACCTCATTTCTTGACCTCTGCACACCCACAGGTCCAACACCATGTGAAAGCTCTCAAGGCTTGGGGCTTTCACCCTCTGAAGCAACAACCTGAGCTGTACTTTGGCTCCTTTTAGCCACAGCTGAAGTGGCTGGGACACAGGGCACCAATTCCCAAAGCTGCGCACAACATGGGGACCCTGGACCTGACCCAGAATGCCATTTTTTCCTTCTAGATCTCTGGGCCTGTGATGGGAGGGGCTGCAATGAAGGTGTCTCACATGGCCTGGAGACATTTTCCCATCGTCTTGGTGATTAACACTTGGCTCCTTTTTACTTATGCATATTTATTTGCCAGGCCTGAATTTCTTCCCAGAAAATGTGTTTTGTTTTTGACTGCATTGTCAGGCTGCAAATTTTTCAATCTTTTATGCTCTGCTTCCCTTTTAAACATAAGTTCCTATTTCAGATTATTTCTATCAAGTTCAAAGCTCCACAGATAGCAAGGCCTGGAGCAAAATGCCACCAGTCTCTTTGCTAAAGCACAGCAAGAGTTACCTCTTCTTCACCCAAAACCACCTCAGTCTGGACTTCATTACTCATATCACTATCAGCATTTTGGTCAAAACCATTCAACAAGACTCTAGGAAGTTCCAAACCTTCCACATCTTCCTGTCTTTTTCTAAGCCCTCCAAGCTGTTCCATTCTCTGTCTGTTACCCAGTTCCAAAGTTGCTTCCACATTTTTGTGTATTTCTATAGCAGCACCCTACTCCCTGTAGTATCAATTTATTGTATTTGTCCATGTTAATACTGCTATAAACAACTGCCTGAGACTGGGTAATTTATAAAGAAAATAGATTTAATTGACCGCTGTTCATCTTGGCTGGAGAGGATTCAGAAAACTTACAATCAAGACAAAAAGAAAAGAGGAAGCAAGACACCTTTTTTACGAGGCAAAAGAAAGGAGAAGTGTAGAGAAAAAAGAGAAGAGCCCCTTAGAAAACCATCAGATCTCCATGAGCGCTCACTAGGTATTACAAGAACAGAATGGGGGAAGCTGCCCCATGATTCAATTACCTCCACCTTGCATCTCCCCTGACATTTGGGGATTATGTGGATTATAACTCAAGATGAGATATGTGTGGGAACACAAAGCCTAACCATATCACTAGGTAATAATTAATATAATGCATATGACAATTGCTCCACTTAAATAATATAGATTGGCAGAATGGATAAAAGAAACAAAACCAAATATCTGCTGTCTTCAAGATAACTAAAATGTAAGAATTCATATAAACTCAAGGTAAAGGGGTGGAAGATATTCCATGCAAATAAAAATAAAAACCAAAAGCAGGCAGTAGTAGCTATTCTTGTATCAGATAAAACAGACTTTAAAGCAACAGCAATAATAAAAGACAAAGGGGGTCATTATATAATGATAAAAGGATCATTCCAACAAGAAGACATTACAATTCTAATTATATATATACCTAACATTGAAGATCCCAGATTCATAAAACAATTACTAGGGAAGAGCAAGATGGCTGACTAGATGCACACAAGTGGAACAGCTCCCATGGAGGGACTGAGACTGCTGGCATGCTTTTAAAAGATATTTAGAGGGAAGGTGCTGAGAGTGGGCAGAGAAAAGACACAGAAGCTAGGCTGAAGGGGAAGAAAACTGGGAACCCCTCATTGGTTACTGTGCACAGAGACTCATTTTTTAACCACAACAACTCCAGCAGAATGGAGGAGTTTACCTGGCAAGGAGCAACCCACTCTCAAAACAGAACTTTGGGACCCCAAAAGAAGGGGACCCATTGACCACAGCAGACACTTAAGGTGGCAGGGAAGGCTGCTCATTTAAGTGGTGGGGCAGCAAGCTAGATGATGTGAAGCCTATAGGGTTTGGTGTGGTAACATCTCTAGTGGAGCATGATCAGAGATGGCCATCGCTCTAGGCTTGTCTTGCTCCCATAAGAGATGTTAGTCCTAGGGGAACTGTCGGACCTTGTCTTTGCAGGGCAGTCTTGCACTAAGATGGGGCTGGCCCAATCTGAGCACTCCTTGGTCTGCTGGCCTCTCCCAGGGCCACGGCCTGGCCATGCCTGCTTAACAGGGAAGTCTTGGGTGACCCGGGGGCACACATCATAGCTTCTACAACAGTGGATTGTGCCTGATCAATAGAGAGCTCCAGCGAGGTGGCTTCTACATCCATGAACGAGCCCACATGTTCCCTCCTGATACTGCAGCTTCCCCAAAGCCCACAGCATCTCCCCACAGGTGTGTGTCTATATGGGAAGGTTTTGCTTTACTTGCCTTTCCAGCACGCAGAAGTGTAGTCCACCACCAGCACCCCCGCAACTAATCACCATCACAGATACAGCCTTGGTGGGCACAGAGCCAGCAAACCCAGCCCCTGAATGTACCACACCCTTGTGCTAAAACTGCACAGAGAACAGTGGACCTTTTTACAACCTGAGTAATCACAACTGCTTGCAGGTCACAGAAAGGACACCCAGACCAGTGCCAGCCAGCACTCCAACCCAAACCAACACCACCTTCAGTGCAATGGTGCACACAGTCTCCAACAGGAGCCCCCTGCATCCCCCAGAGTTTTCTTGCATCTGCCACTGTGGTGAATGCCTGCAGGGAGGCAGGCACACCTGCATTTACTAGCACTCTACTGCAGGTGCTTCCACTCTCTGCACCTTCTGGTGCAGTGGACTCCATAACTCAAGGAGACAGAGAACAATGTCTGGAACTGATACAAGTCCCCCACTTCGAGCATGAAGTCCAGGAGTTGAGAGCTGATCCTTGGTCCCCCTAAAACCTCCAGGAAATGAACCCAGTTAGCTGAATCCACCTTATGACACAATCAAACCCTCAAGGTCATCAAATAGCATAAAAGAGAAAAAATTCATAGGTTAGCAATCTCAAAGATAGAAGGTAAATAAACCCACAAACATGAGAAAGAAAAGTGTAAGAAAGTTGAAAACTCAAAAAGTTAGAGTGCCCTCTTTCTTGCAAATGACTGCATCATCTCTCTAGCAAGGATTCAGAACTGGGCTGAGGCTGAGATGGCTGGAATGATACCCAATACAAAGAGCTAAAAACCATAATAAAACAATGCAGGATCTGACAGAAAAAATAGCCAGTCTAGAGAAGAAAATAACTGACCTGATAGAGCCAAAAAACACACTACAAGAATTTCTTAATGCAATCACAAGAATTAAGAGCAGAATAGACCAAGCAGAGGAAAGAATCTCTGAGTTCAAAGACTGGATTTCTGAAATAAGATCGGCAAACAAGAATAGGGAAAAAATAAATAAAAAGAAAGAACAAGACCTCCAAGGAATATAGAATTATGTAAAAAGAAAATAATCTATAACTGATTGGTGTCCCAGAAAAAAGATGGGGAAAATGGAACCAACTTGGAAAACATAGTCAGGATATCATCCATGAGGACTTTCCAAAACTCGCTAGAAAGGCCAACATTCAAATTCAGGAAATGCAGAGAACCCAAGTAAGATACTTCACAAAAAGATCATCCTCAAGACACATAATCATTAGATTCCCCAAGGGTGAAATTAAAGAAAAAATGTTAAAGACAGCTAGAAATAATAGTTAGGTCACCTACACAGGAAGCTCATCAGACTAACAGCAGACCTCGCAGCTGAAACACTGGAAGCCAGAAGAGATTGGGGGACAGTATTCAACATTCCAACCCAGAATTTCATGTTTGGTTGAACAAAGCTTCATAAGCAAAGGAGAAATAAGATCCTTTTCGAACAAGCAAATGCTGAGGAAATTTGTTGCCCCCAGACTGACTTTACAACAGCTTTTGAAGGAACCACTAAATATGGGGAGGAAAGACCATTATCAGTCATTAAAAAAACACACTGAAGTACACAGACCATTGACACTATAAAGCAACCATATAACCAAGTCTGCAATATAACCAGTTAACATCATTATGACAGGATCAAATCAACACATATAAATACTAACTTTAAATGTAGATGGAATAAATGCTCCAATTAAAAGACTCAGAATGGCAATCCGGATAAAGAACCAAGACCTATTGGTACAATTTCTTCAAGAGACCCATCTCACATGCAATGACACAGAGAGGCTCAAAATAAAGGAATAAAGAAAAATCTACCAAGCAAATGGAAAACAGAAAAAAAGCAGAATTTGTAATCCTAGTTTCTGACAAAATAGACTTTATATCAACAAAAATTAAAAAAGACAAGGGAATTGCATAGTGACAAAGGGTTAAATTCAACAAGAAGAGTTAACTATTCTAAATATGTATGGACTGAAACACAGGAACACTCAGATTCATAAAGCAATTTATTAGAGACCTACAAAGAGACTTAGAGTCTCACACAGTAATAGTGGGAGACTTTAACACCCCAGTGACAATATTAAACAGATAATCAAGACAGAATATTAATAAAGATATTCAGAACCTAAACTGGATCAAATGAACCTTATAGGTAACTATGAAACTTTCCACCTAAAAACAACAGAATATAAAATCTTCTCATTGCCACATAGAACATACTCTAAAATCTATCATATAATTGGAGTTAAAACACTCCTCAGCAAATATAAAAGAGCTGTAATCCTAACAAACAGTCTTTTAGACCACAGCACCATTAAATCAGAAATCAAGACTAAGAAATTTACTCAAATCCCTACAATTACATGGAAATTGAATAACCTGCTCCTAAATAACTTTTAGATAAATAATAAAATTAAGGCAGAAATCTTTGAAATAATGAAGACCAAGCTACACCATACCAAAATCTCTGGGACAAAGCAAATGCAGTGGTGAGAGGGAAATTTATAGTGTTAAATCTCCACATCAAAAAGTTAGAACGATTTCACATTAACAACCTAACATCACAATTAAAAGAGCTAGAGAGCCAAGAGCAAACAAATCTCAATGCTAGCGGAAGACAAGAAATAACTGAAATCAGAGCTGAACTGAAAGAGCCAGAGACACACAGAAATTCCAAAGATCAATGAATCCACGTGCTGTTTTTTTTTTTAAAAATAAAATATATAGACTGCTAGCTAGAGTAATAAAGAACAAAAAAGAGAGAAGATTCAAATAAACACAATCAGAAATAACAAGGGACATATTACCACTGACCTCATAGAAATACAACCATCAAAGAATATTATGAAGACCTCTATATGCATAAACTAGAAAATACAGACAAAATAGATGAATTACTGGATGTATACACCCTCCCAGGAATGAACCAGTAAGAAAATGAATTCCTGAGAAGACCAATAACAAGCTGTAAAATTGAGTCAGTAATAAATAGCCTCCCAACCAAAGAAAAGCCCAGAACCAGATGAATTCACAGCTGAAATTTGCCAGAAGTATAAAGAAGAGCTGATACCATTATGGCTGTAAATATTCCAAAACTATGAGGAGAAGGGACTCCTCTCTAAGTCATTCCATGAAGCCAGCATTATTCTGATATCAAAACCTGGCAGAGATACAACCAAAAAGAAAACTTCAGGCTAATATCCTTGATGAATATAGATACAATAATTCTCAACAAAATACTAGCAAACTGAATCGATCAATACATCAAGATGCTTATGCACCACAATCAAGTAGGCTTTATCCCTGGGATTGAAGATTTATTCAACATATGCCAATCAATTTATGTGATTTAGCACATAAACAGAACTAAATACAAAAAACACATGATTATTTCCCTAGATGCCAAAAAGGCTTTCAACAAAATTCAACATTGATTTATGTTAAAAACTTACAATGAAGTAGTTATGGAAGAAACATACCTAAAAATTATAAGAGCCATGTATGACAAACCCATAGCTAATATCATACTGAATGGGCAAAAACTTCAAGCATTTCCCTTGAAAACAGGCACAAGACAAGGATGCCCTCTCATCACTCCTATTAAACATAGTATTGGAAAGGCTTACTAAGGGCAATCAGGCAAATGAAAGAAACTATCCCTGTTTGCAGATGACATAATCCTATATGTAGAAAACCCAATAGACTCAGCCCAAAAGCTTCTTAAGCTGATAAACAACTTCAGCAAAGTCACAAGATACAAAATTACTGTGCAAAAATTACTAGCATTCCTATACACTAACAACAGTCAAGTCAAGATCCAAACCAGGAATCTACTCCCATTTACGATTGTTACAAAGAGAATAAAACACCTAGGAATACAGCTATCTGGGGGGGTGAAAGATCTCTACAAGTAGAACTATAAAACACAGCTCCTTGAAGTCAGAGATGCTACAAACAAATGGAAAAACATTCCATGCTTATGAATAGGAAGAATCAATATTGTAAAAATGAACATACGGCCCAAAGCGATGTATAAATTCAACAATATGCCTATCAAACGACTCATGACATTCTTCTCAGAACTAGAAAACACCATCTAAAAATTCATATAGAACTACAAAAAAGCCAGAATAGCCAAGGTAATCCTAAACAAACAAACAAACAAAAAAAAAACCAAAAAACAAAAAACAAAGCTGGAGGCATCACGCTACCCAACTTCAAACTATACTACAGGGCTACAGTAACCCAAACAACATGGGACTGGTACAAAAACAGAAACACAGACCAATGGAACAGAATAAAGAACCTGGAAATAATATTGCACACTTACAACTATGTGATCTTTGACAAACCTAACAAAAACGAGCAATGGGAAAGGGATTCTGTATTCAATAAATGGTGCTGGGATAACTGGCTAGCCATATGCAGAAGATTAAAACTGGACCCCTTCCTTACACCATATACAAAAATTAACTCAAAATGGATTAAATACTTAAATGAAAAACCCAAATCTATAAAAATCCTGGAAGATAACTTAGGCAGTACCATTCAAGACATGGGCACAGGTAAAGATTTTACAACGAAGTCTTCAAAAGCAATTGCAAGAAAAGCAAAAATTGACAAATGGGATCTGATTAAACTAAAGAGCTTCTGCACAGCAAAATAAACCATCAGCAGAGTAGGCAGACAACCTACAGAATGGTAGAAAATTTTTGCAAACTATGCATCTCACAAAGGTCTAATATCCAGCATCTATAAGGAAGTTAAACAAATTTACAAAGAAAAACCTCATTAAAATAGTGGGCACAGTACATGAAAGATACTTTGGAAAAGAAGACATACATGTGGCCAGCAATCATATGAAAAAAAGCTCAACATCACTGATTATTAGTGAAATGCAAATCAAAACCAAAATGAGATAGCATGTCACACCAGTCACAATGGCAATTATTAAAAAGTCAAAACATAACAAATGCTGGCATACATATACAGTGTTGTTTGGAGTGTAAATTTGTTCAACCATTGTGGAAGACAGTGTGGCAATTCCTCAAAGACCTAAAGACAGAAATACCATTCAACCCAGCAATCTCATTACTGTCTATATACTCAAAGGAGTATAAATCTTTCTATTATAAAGACACATGCACACATATGTTCATTGTAGCACTATTCACAGTAGCAAAGACATGAAATCAACTTAAACGCTCATCAGTAATAAACAGTATAAAAATAATGTGGTACATAGACACCATAGAATACTATTCAGCCATAAAAGAATGAGATCATGTCCTTTGCAGGGACATGGATGGAGTTGGAGGCAATTATCCTTAGGAAACAAATGCAGGAACAGAAGACCAAATGCCACATGTTCTCATTTCGAAGTGAGTGCTAAACTATGACAACATGTGGACACATAGAGGGGAAAAAAACACAACGGGGTTTTTCAGAGGGTGGAATGTGGAAGGAGGGAGAAGATCAGAAAAATAACTAATGGATACTGGGCTTAATACCTGGGTGATAAAATAATCTGCACAACAATCCCCTATGACAAAAGTTTACCTATGTAACAAACTAGCACTTGTACCCCGGAATTAAAATAAAAGGTAAAAAAAAATACTACAAGACCTAAAAAATGAGGTAGATAGCAATACAATAGTAGTGGAAGACTTCAATAATCCACTGGTAGCAGTAGACAGATTGAGACAGTCAACAATAACAACAACAATGACAACAACCAAATGTACTTAAAACTACACTCTACAATAAATGAACTTAACAGATGTTTATGGATCATTCTACCTGAGAACTGCAGAGTATACATTCTTCTCACCAGCACTTGGAGCACTCTTCAATATAATCCATATAATTGACCACAAAACAAGTCTCAATAAATTAAAAAAATCAAAATCATATCAAGTATATTTTCAGACCACAGTGAAATAAAACTAGAAATCAACTTCAAAAGGAACTCCTCAAACTTTACACATACATGAAAATTAAACAATTTGTTTCTGAATGATTTTTGAGATAAAAAAATTAAGATGAAAAATTTTTTAAGTCTTTGAAATGAATGATAATAGTGATACTGATTACCAAAACCTCTGGGATCCAGCAAAAGCAGTGCTAAGAGGAAAGTTTGACCACAAATTGACAATCTAGTATCATGCCTCAAGGAACAAGGCAAGAAAGAACAACCTAACTCAAAGCAAGCAGAAGGAAAGGAATAACAAAGATCAGAGCAGAAGTAAATGAAATTCAAACAAACATAAAATACAAAAGATCAATGAAACAAAAAGCTATTGTTCCTTGAAAAGATAAACAAAATTGATAGACCATTAGCAAAATTAGCTAAGAAAAGAAGAAATTCATATAAACTGAATTATAAGTGAAACTGGGGACATTCCAAATGACACCACAAAAACACAAAATATCATTTGAGACTGCTATGAACACTATTATATACACAAACTGGAAAACTTAGAGGAAATGGATAAATTCCTGGAAACGTGTATTAGTCTGTTCTCACACTGCTAACAAAGACATACCCAAGACTGGGTAATTTATATAGGAAAGAGGTTAAATTGATTCACAGTTCCACATGGCTGTGGAAGCCTTACAATCATGGTGAAAGGTGAATGAGGACTAAAGTCATGTCTTACATGGTGTCAGGCAAGAGAGCATGTGCAGGGGAACTCCCCTTTATAAAACCATCAAACCTGTGAGACTTATTCACTATCATGAGAACAGCATGGGAAAAACCCACCCCAATGGTTCAATTACCTCCTATTGGGTCCATCCCATAACACATGTGAATTCTTACAATTCAAGATGATATTTGGCTGGGGACACAGAGCTAAACTATATCATTCCACCCCTGGCCCCTCCCAAATCTCACGTCCTCATATTTCAAAACCAGTCATGCCTTCCCAACACTTCCCCCATTGTCTTAACTCATTTCGGCACTAACTCAAAAGGAACTAACTCCACAGTCTAAAGTCTCATCTGAGACAAGGCAAGTATCTTCCACCTAGGGGACTGTAAAATCTAAAGCACGTTAGTTATTTTCTAGATACAATGGGGGGTACAGGCATTGGGTAGATACATTCATTCCAAATGGGAGAAATTGGCCAAAACAAGGGCTACAGGCCCCATGCAAGTCCAAAATCTAGCAGGGCTGCCAAATCTTAAAGCTATGAAATGTTCTCCTTTGACTCCATGTCTCACATCTAGGTCACACTGATCCAAGAGGTGGGTTCACATGGTCTTGTCAGTTCTTCCCTGTGGCTTTGTAGGGAACAGTCCCCATCCCAGCTGCTTTCCTGGGCTGGTATTGAGTGTCTGAAGCTTTTCCAGGCACACAGTGCAAGCTGTAGGTGGATCTACCATTCTGGGATCTGGAAGATGGTGGCCCTCTTTTCACAGCTCCACGAGGCAGTGCCCCAGTGGGGACTCTGTGTGGGAGCTTCAAATCCACATTTCCCTTACACACTGCCCTAGCAGAGGTTCTCCATGAGGGCCCCACCCCTAGAGCAAACTTCTGCCCAGACATCCAGGTGTTTCCATACATCCTGTAAAATCTAGGCAGAGGTTCCCAAACCTCAGTTCTTGATTTCTGTGCACCTGCAGGCCCAACACCATGGGGAAGCCACCAAGGCTTGTGGCTTGCACCCTCTGAAGCAATAGCCTGAGCTGTACATTGGCCATATTTAGCCACAGTTGGAGATGCTGAAATGCAGGAGACCAAGTCCCTAGGGTGTACAAAGCATGGGGTCCCCAGGCCTGGCCCACAAAACCATTTTTTCTTCCTAGGCCTCCAGGTCTGTGATGGGAGGGGCTGCCATGAAGGTCTCTGACATGCCCTGAAGATATTTTCCCCATCATATTGGTGATTAACATTTGGCTCCTCATTACTTATGCAAATTTCAGCAGCTGGCTTGAATTTCTCCTCAGAAAATGGGTTTTTATTTTCTATCTCATTGTGAGGCTGCAAATTTTCTAAATGTTTATGCTCTGCTTCTCTTTTAAACATAAGTTTCAATTCCAAACCATATGTTTGTGAATACATAAAACTTATGATTTTAACAGCATCCAAGTCACCTCTTGAACTCTTTGTTTCTTAGAAATTTCTTCCACCAGATACCCTAAATCATGTCTCTCAAGTTCAAAGTTCTGCAGATTTCTAGGGAAGGGGCAAAATGCCACCAACCTCTGTGCTAAAACATAGCAAGAGTCACCTTTACTACAGTCCCCAACAACTTCTTCACCTCCATCTGAGACCACCTCATCCTGGACTTCATTGTCCATATCATTATCAGCATTTTGGTCAAAGCCATTCAACAAGTCTCTAGGAAGTTTCAAACCTTCCCACATCTGCCTGTATTTTTCTGAGCACTCCAAGCTGTTCCAACATTTGCCTGTTAACCAGTTCCAAAGCCACTTCCACTTTTTGGGTATCTTTACAGCAGTGTCTTACTACTCAGTACAAATTTACTGTATTAGTCTGTTCTCAGGCTGCTAATAAATACATATCCATGATTGGGTAATTGATTGATAAAGGAATGAGGTTTAATTGATTTACAGTTGCACATGGCTGGGGTGGCCTCACAATTATGGCAGGAGGCAAATGAGGAGCAAAGTCGTGTCTTACATACCAGCAGGCAAGAGAGCATGTTTAGAACTCCCTTTTATAAAACCATCAGATCTTGTGAGAATTTTTACTATCACAAGAATAGCACGGGAAAAACACACCCCCATTATTGATTCAATTATCTGCCACTGGGTCTCTCCCACAACATGCGGGGATTATTACAATTCAAGGTGGGATTTGTGTGGGGACACAGAGCCAAACCATATCAACATGTACCCCCCTAGATTATATCAGGAAGATATATAATCTCTTAATCTCTTAGAAGATTAATAACAAGCAGTGAGATTGAATCAGTAATAAAAAATTACCAACCAAAAAAGCCAAGGCCAGATGGAGTTAAAGCTGAATCCTATCAGGTGTTCAAAGAGGAATTGGTATCAATCCTACTAAAACTATTCCAAAAGATTAAGAAAGATGGAATCCTTCCCAATTCATTCTATGAAGCCAGTATTACTCTGATACCAAAATCAGAAGAGGATATAGCAAAATAAGAAAACGAAACCAACATCCTTGATGAACATACATGCAAATTCTCAACAAATTACTAGCTAGCCTAATCAAACAGCAAACCAAAAAGATAATATACAATCATCAGTGGGTTTCATCCCAGGGATGCAGGGGTGGTTTAACATACACAAGTCAATAAATGCAATACTCACATAAACAGAATTAAAAAGAAAAACTATATGATAATCTCAACAGATACAGAATAAGCATTCAAAAAAATCCAGCATCCCTTTATAATAAAAATCCTCAACAAACTAGGCATAGAAGGGACTCAACTTAAATTAATAAAAGTCATATGTGACAAACCCACAGCCAACATACTGAATGTAGTGCAGTTGAAAGAATCCTTTCTGAAAACTGGAACAAGACAAGGATGGCCACTTTTACTACTTCTATTCAACATAGTATTTGAAGTCCTAGCCAGAGAATTGAGGCAAGAGGTATAAATAAAAGGCATCCAAATTGGAAAAGAGAAAGTCAAACTATCACTATTAGCCAATGATATAATTATATACCTAGAAAACTTTATAGCTTCCTCCAGAAGACTCCTAGATTTCAAAAACGAATTCAGTAAAGTCTCAGGTTACAAAGTCAATGTACACAAATCAGTAGCACTTCTATACACCAACAATGATCAAGCTGAAAATAAAATGAAGAACTCAATCCCTTTTACAATAGGTGCAAAAAATAAAATAAAATATCTAAGAATATATTTAACCAAGAAGGTAAAAATCTCTATAAGGAGAACTACAAAACATTGCTGAAAGAAGCCATAGATGACTGAAACAAATGGAAACACTTCCCATGCTCATTGATTGGAAAAATCAATATTGTGAAAATGACCCTACTGCCCAAAGCCATCTAGAGATTCAATGCAATTCTATCAAAATACCAACATCATTTTTCATAGAACTAGAAAAAACAATAATCCTTAAAATTCATATGGGACCAAAAAAGAGCTCAAGTAACCAAAGCAAATCCTTAGCAAAAAGAACAAATACAGAGGCATCTCATTACCAAATTTCAAGTAATACTACAAGGCTGTAGTTACCAAAACAGCATGGTACTGGTATAAAAGTAGACATATAGACCAATGAACAAGAATCGATAACCCAGAAATAAAACTAAATACAACCAACTGATGTTCAACAAAGCATACAATAACATAATTTGGGGAAGAGACACCCTATTAATAAATGGTGCTGGGAAAACTGGCTAGCCACATGCAGAAGACTGAAACTGTATTCCTATCTCTCACCTTATAGAAAAATCAACTCAAGATGGATTAAAGACTTAAATCCAACACCTAAAACCATACAAAATTTTAGAAAATAACATTGTAAAAACTCTTCTGGACAGTGCCCTAGAAAAATAATTTATGTCTTAAACCCCAAAAGACAATGCAACAGCAATAAAAACAAAAATAAATGGGACCTGATTGAATTTAAAAGCTTCTGTGTGGCGAAACAAATAATCAGCAAACAGACAAAAAGTGGGAGAAAATATTTTCAAACTGCATCCAGCAAAGGACTAGTATCTAAAATCTACAAGAACTTAAACAAGTCAGCAAGAAAAAGTCAATAATCCCATCAACAACTGGACAAATGATATAAATAGGCATTTCTCAAAAGAAGATATGCAAATGACGAAAAAATGTATGAGAAAAATACTCAACATCACTAATCACCAGAGAAATACAAATTAAAACCACAATGAGGTACCACCTTAGTTCTGAAAGAATGGCCATTATGAAAAATTCAAAAACAATAGATGTTGATATAGATGTGATGAAAGAGGAATGCTTATACACTGGTGGTGGGAATGTAAATTAGTGCAATCTGTATAGAAAACAGTGTGGAAATTCTTAAAGAACTTAAAGTAGATCTACCATTTGATCCTGCAATCCCGCTACTGGGTATCTACCCAAAGGAAAATAAGTCATTATCAAAAAAAAAAAAAAAAATGCATGTATAAGTTTATTGCAGTCCAATTCACAATTGCAAAGACATGGAACCAACCTAAGTGGCCATCGATCAATGAGTGGATAAAAAAATGTGGTATATACGAACAATGAAATACTACTCAAATAAAAAGGAATAAAATAATGTCTTTTGCAGCAACTTGGATGGATCTGGAGGTCATTATTCTAAGTGAAGTACCTTAGAAATGGGAAACCAAAAACCTTATGTTCTCATTTATAAGTGGGAGCTAAATTATGAGTACATAGAAGCATACAGAGTGATATAACAGACTTTGGAGATTCAGGAGGGGGAAGGTAAAGGGGAAGTGTGAGATAAAAAAACTACATATTGGCTACAGAGTACACTATTCAGGTGATGGGTACATTAAATCTCAGAATTCACCACTATTTAATTCATCTGTGTAACCAAAAACACTTGTACCACAAAAGCTATTGAAATAAAAAAAAATAAAAGAGCAAAATAAATAAATAAGTTAATTAATTAATATTATCTTGAAGTGAAATAAACAGCGTGAATGCAAGGTACAGGTGAAGAAAGCAAAGTTTTAAGCATCAAAGTAGAAAAATATAGCTCTGATTACTTTAATTTTAAGGTAGAGGGTGTTGATAATGAACTTAACCACAAGGAGGCAAGAAGGAGAATTTACAAAAAAGAAAAACAGAGTATGGGATAATAAGCCAAGGCAGAAATATTACAAGAGTGATTTACACATACTTAGTTTCAGGGGTCAGGGCAAGGAGAAGTGAAGTCAGCAAGATGTCATTCTTGTCCTTACCTCTTCTCTTTAAAGCTAGTAGAGGGAGAGTGATAGCCCCCTTCTGCTTTTGGCACTGGAACAGGAAAGCTACAGGAGGAACAACGTAAAATTCCAAATAAACTCTTCTGATTTTGAAATGTGGATTATATGCAGATAAAGTTACTATTCTCTGAATGAACAATTCAAATATCTAGGAGACTTGCATTTAGCAAGTACCTTAAGTGCTATCCTGATTTAATTTGTCATTCTTATTGTTATTACTATAATAAATCACTTGAAATGATTCTTGTATGTGGAGCAAGCAAGTATCTTTTATCCAACTTAAAAAGGATGGGAAGTTTATAATCAAAAGGATAAATGTTCTGAGTTGTACGAAGAATCATTGTGAAAAAAATAAGATTAAAAGAAAAAGAATGGATCAAAGTGTTCTTTACATATGCTGTTTTTATTCAACTGAAAATTAACATATGTTGGGAAGATACCTTAAAGTCACTTCTGTATATTTATCATCTGGCTTGTGTTTAATTAAATAAAAATCAGATTATCCCTTTTATTTTGAGCTGCAAGATGCTCGTGTTGTCTCTAAAGTATTTGGCCGCTTCCCCAGAATGACACCTTTCATTTTGATATTTGTGGTGAAGGAGAACAAAAGAAAAATTGTCAGTCTCAAATGATGACTAAAAAAATTAAAATTATACCTGATAATGAGTAAAGTTTCCTAAGAGTCACCAGAAAATAAAGTTTGATACTGTCTTAAACAAATATCAGGAATTAACTAGGGCAACCAAGACCAGATACATAATTTGTGGAGCCCTGTGCAAAATGAAAATGTGGGGTCTCTTGTTAAAATTTTATTAAGAGTTTCAACACAGCAACAGCACAACATTAAGAAAAGCTCAGGGTCCTGATGATAAACACACAGATTGTATACTCACAAAGTCAATCCTGGGGGAAAAGTAGTCTTAATAAAGACTTCATTTTTAACTGTTTATTATTAAAGAATTATTTAATTATAGCACAGTAATTGCAAAGATGAGAGGTCTTATGTACCCTGGAGTAGTCCGTTCTCATGCTGTTAATAAAGACTTTCCTGAGACTGGGTAGTTTATAAAGGAAAGGGGTTTAATTGACTCACAGTTCAGCATGGCTAACTGTGAGGGAGTCCTCACAATCATGGTGGAAGGCAAAGGAAGAGCGAAGTCACATCTTACATGGCAACAGGCAAGAGAGCATGTGCAGGGGAACTGCCCTTTATAAAACCATCAGATCTAGTAACACTTTTTTACTATTATGAGAATAGCATGGGAAAAACCTCCCCCCTTGATTCAATTACCTTCCACCAGGTCACTCCCACAACACATGGGGATTATGAGAGCTACAATTCAAGATAAGATGTGGGTGATGACAGAGCCAAATCATATCATAACCTTTACTCAGTTTCCTCCAAAGGTTATATCTTACAGAATTATAGCACACAATCAAAACCTGAATATTGACATTGGTACAACAAATTTGTATAGTTCTATACCATTTCCTTACATGTATAAGTTCAAGTAACCATCACTGCAAAAAAGACACGGAAATATTCCATTACCACAAAGGTCTATCTTGTGTTCCTCTTTGAAGTCACACCTTCCTCCCTGCTTACCATTGTCCCTAAGCCCTGACAACCACTAATTTCTTTTCCATGTTCATAATTTTTTCATTTCACAAATGGTATATGCATAGAATTATATTGCCTTAGTCAGTTGGAGCGGCTTTAATAAATTACTATAGTCTGGGTGACTTAAACAGCAAACATTTATTTCTCATGGTTCTGGAGCCTGGAAGTATGAGATCAGTATGCCAGCCTAAACAGGCTCTGATGAGGGCCTTCTTTCTGGCTAGAGAGAAATATTTCAAATATCTTTCTCTTTTTATAAGGGTGCTAATTTAATCATGAGGATTCCACCCTCATGACCTAATTAGGTCCCAAAGGTCTCACCTTGAAATCTCATCACATTTAGGTTTAGGGTTTCAACATATACTTTTGGGGAGGGGCACAAACATTCAGTCCAAAGCACATATATTATGTAATCTTTCAAAGTTTGCTTTTTTCACTCAGTGCAATTCTTCGAAAATTCATCAAAGTTTTGCAAATATCAATAGTCTATTCATTTATATTACTGACTACTATTCTGTGTTATGGATATACTATCATTCTATGGTTTCTTTAGCAGTGAAGTCTAATTCGAAGAACATCTGAATTTTTCCCAGTTTTGGGGTGCTATAAATGAAGCTGCTATGAACAGGTTCTGTGTAGACACAAGTTATCATTTCTCTAGGGTACATTTTCAAGAGTGTGATTGCTGAACCATATGCTAAGTGAATGTTTAGTTATACAAGAAACCACCATACAAATTTCCAGAGTGGCTGTGACATTTTACATTTCTACTAGCCATATATGAGAGATCTAGTTTCTTCACATATGAGGCAGCATTGGAGTGAGATCAATTTTGAGGGAAAGTGAGAAAACAGGGAATCCTGTATTTGGTAAATGAGTTGAGTTGTTTAAATGTGGTATCTAGAACTTTAAAATATTAGTCAAGAAAAGACAAGAGGGAAAAGCTTCGTATAAAAGAAAAGATCACCAGAATAAGGAAAGTCTCAAAGGCACTTTACCACAAATTTTTCATCTGAACTTTATAGGTATATTCACCCGTTCTATGGCTTTTAAACAGGGATAAGTAAAAGGCATAAGTTTCTGCATGGCTCTTGCATCATGAAATGCATTCTTTAATACCATTTTCACTTTGAATAAGTTTTTTGTAAAAACGTATTGTGTATTCTTATGGTTAATGATACTTGTCATTCATTTGAATTGCTGAGTCTAGAAATCTGACTGCATTCTATTATCCAACTGGTCACCAGATTTTATCAGTTCTACCTCCATCATGTCTAGGTAATTATGGATCATTTCTATTGCCACAGCTTCTTAATTCTTCAAAGTTCCAAATGCTGAAGTCTATTTGCTCTACTCACACTGTTGCCAGAGTTGACTTTCTTAAGCATAAAACAATTTCTCCAATTTCTGTGCTTAAAAATATTTGCTGACTCCTGAATGTAAAGTCTTAACTCAATTACATGGAATTCAAAAGCTACACTAATTTGTTATAATTCTCAATCTTCTCTCTCTATTTCTAATATAACATTTTAAAAGAGTATAGTTATAGATCATCAATGTTACAAATTCATGCTATAGTTCCCCTTGTTCTTTCTTTCCTCTGCTCTCTTTCTTTGAGGTCTTACTTTCATTTAATGCTTTCTTGAATTATATGCTCTTCATTGAAAGCTCCAGGTAAAATTAACAATCCCTTTCCCAGATATATGTTGATAGTCTATTCATGGTACTAACTACACCATAAAATTGTAAAATTGTTATATACATATAATTCCTCCAATAGATTATAAATGTCTTGAGAGTGCAGACTGTGCCTTACATCATTGTCCCCACTCCCAGTACTGGTGAAATACTTGGAATACAAATGCAGTAAATGGAGATTGAATTGCATTGTATCAGAGAATGGGAAAAGAGTATCAAGCAGTACTTCCAAAACTGCTAAAAAAAATAAAATCAAATGGCAAAGAGTAAAAAGGCCAATTAAATATAATATTTTTCATTCTTAAGGAATAATGAAATATTAGAAAAAAATGTTATGTGAAAAATGGCTCTTTCTAATTTCATTAATCTGATAATTGGCTCTTCACCTTCCTTTACCTAGTTAGATAAAGTCACAGACTTATTATTGTATAAAATAAGAAATACAGTTTTTAAAAACTGATATACTAATGGGGAAAATATAGTCCAATGTTTCTTTTGAAAGCTCAAATTATACATGTATTTAAATACTTCCCAGTTTTTATTTAATTAATTCATCAGTTAATGTATTCATTTCACAGATTGCTGTTGAATATCTTTAATATACCAAAACCTGCAAGGTGCTAGACATACAAGGTAAATACAAAGTCTTTCTCAAAGAATTTAATAAGAGATTGGAGAAACAGACACTTAGAAACATTTACAAATCACCATGAATGGAACAATGTACGCTAGTGTTGTGGGAGAGGAAGTTTTGAAATACTTCCACAGAGAGGATGATACTCAAAGTGGGTATTGAAGAATGCAAAGAGTTTCTGGGGGTAAATGAGAACATAATAAGTAGAAGGAAGAACATAAGAAGCATGGCATTGCAATGGTGACTGACTTAGGGCTATACTGTCTTAGACTTGGAAGTGTAGCTAGGGAAGTAGGATTATTGTGAATATGCATCCTTATATGGCATATTTTCCTTATATTTTGAGAATTAAAATTGTTTCTTTGAATTTCAATAACAGCCTAGTTATTCTTACAAACATGTTTTGTTTTTCTATCATTGATTAGAGTCATTAATAAAATTGCCTACAGCTTTAAAATAATTGTCTATTTATTTTAGCTCAACAGCTTCGTATAAAATGGTAAAGACTAAGGTAGCATCAAGTATGGATACTTACCAAGATATTGTTTTATATGGGGAAAATGTAACATAACCCAAGTTCAGGAATAGGAACAGGGATGCATTCTCATTAAGATGCAATTTAATGACGCAGTTTCTCACTAAGCTGATTATTCACTGCATTTTCCCCTACAATTAATCTGGCATACTAAGTTAAGGCACATTATACGAGGTTACATGCCAACACTTTTGGAATTCTTAAAACACTGCAAAGTAATCTCAGGGAAGAATTTTAGCTCCCAGTACATATAAAATAAAAGTTAAGGGAATAATTATTTTGCATCTATGAAGTACCGTGAAGAGTTAGTTTGGGCCATATGTGTCAACTGTTTGCTAAAACCAGATTTCTCTTTCACATGTAACTTATTTAACTCTTTAGAAGTGAATACTTGGAAGGACACAAGCAAATAATTCACAAGTGATGAAACTAAAATAGTCCCTATATAAAATGTCAATATCTAAAGAAATATATATTAAAAGAAGAAAAGGAACAATTCCTTCAATTACTAAATTATCATGTTTTGTTCATAATAATAATAGCCAAAGCTGGTTGATGTAAGGAAACCAAGTGATACTCTTGTACAGTTTTGGTAAGAACATATTTGTGCAGTCTTTCCGGAAGGAAATTTAGTAACTGCCTTAAAAATGTACTTTTCTTTTACAAGCTATTCAATGTTAAGATTATATTCCGAAAAAATAATCAGAGAAGTGTTTACAGACAAGTATACAAAACTATATACTGTAGTATTTTTCACAGCATAGAAAGTTAAAGACAATTTACATGTTCAACAACTGTGGATTAATTACATCCATAATGACAAAGAGATAACGTACAGCATTTAGAATTGTAGTTTTTAAGAAACAATGTGAAAATGAGAAAAAATACTAGTAACAGTAAATATAACATGAATAATAAACAGCAAACACCATTTTAAATGTCGAATGGTAAAATTATGGAAAGATTACTAGTTATAGCTCTGCTTATTTTATTCTACTTTAGTAATTACCTGAGTTTATTAGAGTTCATTAGATACTTTAGAGTTGATGTGCATTACTTTGGTACGTAGTAAAGATACTATAAATATTTAGAAAACCAACTGATTTATTGTTTTGGTAGTATTTTATTTGCTGAACTATAGGCGTAGGGAAATCTACATGTTGTTGTGGAATCTTGTTATAGTACCTTATGTGACTGCTTAGTAAGTTCTTTGTGCCCATTTGAAATCAATAACTACAGTTGAAGATATTCTGTATGGATTTTCCTTATTAGATAAGTATCTGCATACAGGGGAAATTTTGCAATTTATTTTTTATCTAATGTGCATATTTTAAATTCTGCTTGCCTTTTCTCCTTTTATCAGAACATGAAAATGAAAAGAAACATATGATCTGACAGCTTCTCCATAAGAGGAAAATCCTTAATAGCTAAATACTTGTTCAAAGTATTCCTTGAAGCAATCTCCATTTTTTTTTCACGGTTATGGTCATCAAGATAAAAAACAAAACAAAACAGAAAACAAGTTATTTTGCCTTTAAGTCTCCAAAACTGGCTGTATCCTCAACTTCTGTTTGCATATGCAGTTACAGTCTCAGAATTTCTCCAACTTAAAGCAAAATGTAGAAGCAAGATAAGACTATTGGCTTAAGAGATTGAAAAGAAAGGATGGAGTTTCCCATTTTATTTAGAATTCAGATTCTTTTTGAGCCATTACTGTCCATTTCTCTTGGTGTCTACCCAATGGCCTAATGTTTAACTATGCGAGACATTCCAAGTCTATTTTATATATATATACACACACACACACACACACACACACACACACAATAGTGCTGTGTTCTGAATGTGTGTGTCCCTGAAAAATTCATATATTAAAACTTAATCCTCAATGCAATAATATTAAGAGGTATGGACTTTGGGAGTTGATTAGATCATGAAGACTCTGCAATCATGAATGGCACTTGTGCTCTTGGGAGCTTGGGGGCCCTTTTGCCACGTAAGGATGCAGCAAAAGGCACCATCTATGAAGAAGAGAGCAAGCCTTCACCAAAAAATCTGCTAGTATATTGATCTTGAACTTCCCAGCCTCCAGAACTGTGAGAAGTATATTTCTATTATTTACAAATTACCCAATATAGAGTATATTGTTATAGCAGCCCAAATACAGTGACACAATAGCAAAAACTTACATTAAAATTATTCTTAGATTTGATCTAGAAAATACTGCTTTGCTACATATAAGAAAACAAATATACCAGATTACCAAGAAAGATACTTCATTATGGATTTTCTGACTTCCAACTTGGGGCTCTTTCAGTGATACGGAAGTGAAAATTAAAAATAAGTGTGAAGTACTAAAATAAATTCAACAGAAAAACACCCCCAACTCCATTGCAAGCTAGCTCACATAGTCCGAGAAAAACAATGCTAAACAACATATATGTTATTTTGTTTTGTTTGCTTATATCTTCTGAGATAGAAAAAATCCAAATCTGTTGTTCTCCTTGTCTCGGAGCTGACCCTTTCCAGCAGATGATATCACCTCTAAGGTAACTAAGAACAATGATTTCTTATGGAAGTAAATCAAGACTGTTCCTATCAAAATTAAAAAATAAAATGTTGAATATTAGAGAGAAATGCAGCAATAATATATGGAGTTTAGTAATATGATGGACAGCTCTGTAATCATATTAGTTTCAAAATATTTAATATAGTCTTTTCCAAATATGATATAAGCAGATGGATAGACTAGCTGTGTACTTTCATTGCCTCTGCTTTACTGATGCAGAACTCTTAAAACAAGCTTCCAAATATTGTTGGTTCTTTGTTTATTGAGTGTGAAATTGAAAGCAAAGCAAACCAAATGCTGTGACGTATATCCATTTTCCATCCTCCTTGGTCTTGCAAATCAATTATTATTCAAAATTACCCTTTATAATCAAAATTCTTTGTATAACAACTAATATGCCATTATCTTAAACTAATATGATCACATTCTTTTTTTCTTTTGTTTTTGGTAGAGATGGGAGTCTCACTGTTTTGCCCAAGCTGGTCTTGAACTCCTGGCCTCAAGTGTTCCTCCCGCCTCAGACTCGCAAAGTGCTGGGATTACAGGCAGAAGTCACTGCTCCAGGCCACATTATTTTTATGATTATTATGATTAATACTTTTAAATAGTTGTACTTTGGGTTCTTGGGAACCCAGAGAAATAACATTCTTCACAAAGTTAGTTCAAAGGATTTTTTTAAGCTTAGTGCTACCGTTCTAAATGACTTTTTAAAAGAAAAGCATTGAGTATTTTAAGAAACATATAAATTGAATTTTGTGATTATCTGAATTGGTGTTTTAGTTAGCAATGTAATGAGAGTAAAAATAACTAAACATTAAACTTTCTAATAGATTTCAGTTCAATACTAATACTACAGGGCTGATGCTTGCATTTCTTAGAAAGAGCAGGAAAATAAATATATATGTACATTTAATTATAAACAGAAGGCAGAGTTAGTTTACAACATTTAAAAAAAAATCTAGATTGCATACTTTAATTTTCACCATGCAAAAAGTTGGAACTTGTAACTTCCAATGAGTCAATCTTTGGCTATTTTTCACAATCCACAAGTCCATGGTTTTTCTATAAAATAAGCACTAGTAATAAAAATCACAGGACACTATTTAATATGTTTGGTTGTATTATAATATTGAGAATAATTGGAGGATAAAATACTTTCTTTTAAAACATCACCTTTTCAGTGTCTGTTTCAAAAATATAGAATAAATTTAATTTTTAAAATTCTCTAAGTTTTCTATAACATCTTGAAATCATTTGTGATACTGTGATGCCACAATACCAGAGTGCCCCAGACTAAAATAAAACAAAACAATCAAATATACAAACATAAAAATAAAACCAGCCAAGCACATATGGGTGTGGTATTTTTATAGCATTAATTTATGGGGTAGTTAGACATTTCTTTTATTTTTGCCATTCGTGGGGTGTGAGTGAATTATAGATGATATAAGAATGTTGGTATATTGATAATCATTGAATCTGGATGATGGTATGTGGAGGTTCATTATGCAATTCTGTCAACTTTTTCTACATTTGAAATTTTCCATAATGAAAGTTGAAAAAAAAAACAGAAACAAAACAAACAAATGAAAAACACCATGAAGTGAAAAGACAAGCCACAAGGTAGATGAATGTTTTTGCAATAAGAATCACTAAAACAAGATTAGTATGCACAGAAAGATTAGTATGTAGACTATTTAAAGAACTGCCATAAATCAACAAGAAAGAACAATCCAGTATATAAAAAAGTAGCTCATATTTAAGCAATCTCAGTAATCAAAGAAATTTATATTAAGACCGCAGTAAAATGTAATTTACCTGTAATTGGCAAACTACTAAGCAATCTGATAATATCAAGTCCTGGAGAGTATGGGGATCCAAAGGGATACACGTCCATAATGTCTATTGCAGTAATGTTCACAATGGCAAAATGATGTAAATAGCCCAAATGTCCAACAACCAGAAAAAACACAATTGAATTAATGTTTCCTCACAGAGTGGAATATTGCAAATCAGACCATAAAATATTACTGCACATAACACAGAAAAGTCTTAAAAGCATAATATTGAGGGCAAAAAAAAATAACATGGATCATTTACAGTGTGGCAAAGTTTTTATAGAACTTACCTAAATACTTCATTATTTAAGCCTACATACGTTTGTGAGAAAACTGTAATAAAAACAGCAAAAGAGTAAAAACACAAGATTTAGTAGAGTGGTTATCTCTAGTGGACTTATAGGTGATTGTTGTATTATTGTGTTAAACTTAACACGTATATTACACATCAGTTTTGTATCAAATAATATATTTAAAAACACAACAGCATAAACAAAAAGAAGAAAAATCATTAACCTCCTGCCCCTCTTCTCCACAGAGTTTCTGAGTAGAAATTTCTACCTGACGTGCCAAATATGGGGTTCTGCTATAAAATCAAAAGCACCTATCTTTTCAATTTATCACTTATTCACTCTAAAATGTAATGGTTTCCTATGTTCTAAGATGCTATTCCTAAATTTGCATTGGTGGACTGTGTAGAATAAACTATTGGCTCAATATGTACTGATAATGGGGTCCAGAAAGTGCATTTGTAACAAAGCATTGTAGGTGGTTTTGATGCTGAGTCAGATTGGCAAAAGTGGGAGCAGAACCCAGTTATACATGTACTGCCTTGGTTCCACTTTGGGCCTTTGATAAAATTGCTCTCCCCCTTTAGAGAGACAGGCCAATGTCAAGTGCACCCAAACTCACAATGCAAATATGTTAAGGAATCACTTCTACTTTTACTTATCCAAACTTTATATCTACTCCTCTTAATATGCGTCCAAGTTTTATAAGACTTGTTTTTCTTTCTTATAAAATGCGGGATTGCTAAAATATTATTTTTTTTCATTTTTCATAACTACAATCTAATAGAACCATGAAATGGGCACAAGGGTTTTACATACTCACTTCATAAAATGCAGTATGTCAAAATATATTCCTCAAACAAAAAACTTTAGTAAACTGCATACATTACACCTGTCAAATGCAAACAAAAAATGATGGCCTTTTTTCATCAGTTTTACAAAAGTTATTATAGGTTTGTTGTGGACAAAATACGAGTCCATCAGTTTTTTTAATTGTTTTATATATATATATATATAAAATAATTAAATATTGTTTTATATATATAAAATAATTAAATATTGTTTTATATATATAAAATAATTAAATATTGTTTTATATATATAAAACAATAAAAAAACACATACATATGTGTGTGTATGTATATATATGTGTGTGTATATATGTGTGTGTATGTATGTATGCATGTATGTGTGTGTATATATATATACACACACACACACATATATTTTGCTTTGGAAAAATGAGCAAGAGAGCCAGCCAGTTCGTCTACTATAATAGAGCAAAAGTCACAGAAGAATTATAGTGACATTTAAAATAAGTCTTTAAAAATTATTGTTCGGGCTGAACATGGTGGCTCACATCTGTAATCCCGGCACTTTGGAAGGCCAAGGCAGACAGATCACTTGAGGCCAGGAGTTCCAGATCAGTCTGGCCATCATGGTGACCCTACTAAAAATACAAAAATTACAGGCATGCTGGTGCATGCCTGTAATCCCAGCTACTTGGGAGGCTGATGCACTAGAATCGCTTGAGCCTGGGAGGCAGAGGTTGCAGTGAGCCGAGATCATGCCACTGCACTCCAGCCTGGGTGACAGAGTGAGACTCTGTCATATATATATATATATATATATATATATGTATTTCAGTTACATGCTTGTTAACCAGGCATAGTGGCACATGCCTGTAGTCCCAGCTGCTTGGGTGGCTGAGGCAGGAGAATCACTTGAGGCCAGGAGTTTGAGGCTACAGTGAGATTTGATCCACCACTGCACTTCAGCCTGAGTAACAATGTGAGACCTTGCATCTGAAAAAAAAAAATGCAGCTTGATCTTGTTGAGGGCTGGTGTGATTTTCTGAAAATGCTGAAGAATATAGCACAGTTGCCAGGGTATTCCATATTATTGAGTAAGTGAGAGGAATTTGTTTAACTTAGAATTTCTACTGATCTCATTAAGTACATGTTTTTTTTAGTTTACCTGTAAGTAGTAGCATTTTGAGGGAAACAATATTTTATATTGTCCCTGTTTGTTTCAACTTCAGAGCAGATGTGACTCAAAATTCTATGCATACTTTGACATATTCTGTATGACAACAACTCTGTCCTTGGCTAAACTGTAGACAGGCTCCTCCGAGCCTTCTTTCAAACTAGGCCCCTTCCTTTGGCCCTGTCTTTGACCTGCCTCTCCCAGTTTTAGCAAAAAATCTTGCTTAATTAGCAAGGATCTCTCCACCATTAATATCTGATCACCCTGGTTTGCTGACTTCTACAAAGGTCCTCTTGTTGGGTTAGCAAAAATCCCTCTAACCTCAATGTCTCCTCCTAGCAATTTTTCATCCACTGATTTTCCCACTCTGCTCTTTGGATGTACATCCCCAGCTATCTTTACTGTATTTGGCATTGAGTCTCATCTCTCTTCCCTATTGCAATTATCTTGACCTCTATTGCAATTATCTTGGCACCTATTGCAATAGTCTTGAATGATGTCTTCCTTACTATTTTAACAAGTGTGAGAATATTTTTTTTCTTTAACAGGGATTGCAATAACAAATTATAGGAATTTAGAAGGATACACACAGTTAACCAAAATTCAATTTAACCAACAAGTTTGTATTTCTTAAAAAAATAAGTTATTAAGTCTCTTGAGGATATATTGTCAAGTAGTTCACAGACTCTTTCAAAATTCTGGAACCTGGAATATAAACCTGTGAGGGAGAAAGAGGAGACATATTTGCCCTGGGGACATTAAACTGGGAATGAAACCATGGCTGAAAGGCCCTGGGTGTAGAAACTACATGCTAGTTTGGAGTGGTAGGGATCTTTCAGAGGATATGTAGAAATGGCAGCAAGGAAGAAAGACAAGTAAGAAAGAGAACTTTAAATTTAAGTCTTAAGATCTCAAGCTCCCTAGATTTGCATTTCTAAAATGTCTTTGCTGAAAATTAATGTCCTTAGAAAACTTTCTCTCTTTTCATGACGTGATTCTTCAAGCATTAAGTTGATTATATTAGTGAATTGTCTGAGTTCTTTAACAAAATAGAAGTTCCATTAGGGTACTTCTTAGTTTCCCTAGTTTACCACTGTATTTCCAGTGCCTAGAAACTTGCCCATCACATGGGAGACACTCAATAAATATTTCCTGAGTTAATGTGTTAAATAATGTTTAGATGTGTATAAGAGACAACTAGTCTTAAAGAGCATTCCTTTGAATTCATCTATAGATTTTTCATTTATATTATGTTGAACCAAAGAAATGTTCGTTAAGATTATGTTGTTAACTTCTTCTGTATTAATGCATAATATAAATACAAAAACCTTGTCAAGTTAACGGTTTATACTTTTCCTGAGCTAATAGCATATATATAATGATTTCTGCTTCCTTGTTTACGATGTGATGACAAGGGTAGCTGCGCCACTGTGGGCCACAGGAGCACCACATTCCAGGAAGCACTAGTCACGCATGCCAACTTACATGTTTGGCAGGCAGGAGAATGCTGGGCCTTTGACTGAGAAATAATTCTGTTTTCTTCCTCCCCCAAATGTGCTCTTAGAGCTAGAGGTCCTATTAATTTCCTGAGTTTTTTTTTTTTTTTACCTAAATCTTTATTGGGATATTAGAAACAAATAAAAAACCTATACAAAAGTCAACTCAAGAGGGATTAAAAAAAACCCCGAAACTATTAAAACACTAGAAGAAATCCAGGGAAAACTCTTCCTGACATTGGTCTTGGCAAAAAATACAAGACCTCAAATGCACAAACAACAAAAACAAAAATAGACAAATGGGACTTCATCTTCAAATCTTCTACAAAACAAAAGAAATAATCAACAGAGAACAGACAACTTGCAAAATGGGAGTAAATATTTACAAACTATGAACCCAACAAGGGACTAATATCCAGAATTTACAAGGAACTGAAATAAATAAACAAAAACACAAACAACAGCATTAAAAGTGGGCACAGGGCATAAATAGACATTTTTCAAAAGAAGAGATAAAAATGGCCAACAAGCATATGAAAAAAATACTCAATATCACTAGTCATCAGATAAATGCAAATTAAAACCTTAATGAGATATCATCACAAACCAGTCAGATTGGCTGTTATTAAAAATGCAAAAAACAACAGATGTTGGCAAAGATGCAGAGAAAAGGGAACACTTGTGCACTGTTGGTGGGAGTGTAAATTATTACAACTTCTATGGAAAACAATATGGCTATTTCTCAAATAACTAAAAGTAGAGCTACCATTCAATCCAGCAATTCCAATACTGGATGTCTACACAAAGGAAAATAAATCATTTCATGAAAAAGATATTATGCTTACGTATCACTGCACTATTCACAATAGCAAAGACATAGAATACTTAAATGTCAATCTACAGATGATTGGATAAAGAAAACGTGGTATATATACACACAAACTACACATGCACACACATACACACACACACAAACACTGGAATACTATTCAGCCATTAAAAGAATGAAATCATGTCTTTTGTAGAAGTGTGGATGGAGCTGGAGGCTATCATCTTAAGAGAAGTAACTCAGAAACAGAAAGTCAAATATTACATGTTCTTGTTTATAAATGGGAGACAAATTATGTGTACACATGGATATAGAATGTGGAAATAATAAATATTGAAGACTTGGAAGGGTGGGAGGAGGATGACAAATAAGAAATTACTCAATGGCTACGATGTACACTATTCAGGTGATGGTTACACTAAAAGCCCAGACTTCACCACTATGCAATACATTCATGTAAAAAACAGCATTTGTACCCCTTAAATTTATAGAAATATGAAAATGAAAAAGAATTGAAATAAAATAAATGTCTGTTATAAAAATGGTTTACTGCTTGTTTACATGGAACTGTGTCAGTTAATTATGAGACCAGCTAATTCAACATTAGGGAGTTGGCAGTGGAAACAGAGAGAGACACTAAATGAAAGAGAACTGCATTATAGCAAAGATGAATACAGCAAGGTACCAGACTAGCACAACATGGTGCATACATCGAAGAGGTGGTTCAAGTTTTATGGTTTCGAGAAAAAAGGGTTATGACATAGTCAGAAAATTTGGAAAAATACTTACAAAGTGCATGTCAAGATACAGACAAGAAATGTTTTCATTATTGTGCCATTCAGGTTTGTTACATTTGCCTTTGTATTCCCGATGTTATCTATTTAATAATATGAACCTCCTTTATGTAACAGATCTTCTTTCACTAAATCCAGTTGTCACTTGTTTTTGGTGCTTGTGGGGCATCCAGTCAACTTCAGACAGCCTCTAATGTGGTGGTCGTGTCGATACTGTTGTTTCCGAACCAGGAGTATGAGAATACTGACCCTGCCAAATGGAAGTAAAAACAAAACAAACAGAATAAAACACTTTACAGGAAATTTCAAACATATATAAAAGTAAGGAGAATAATATAATGAAGCCCTGGATGTACTCATAACTCATCCCCAACTCATCCCCAACAATTAACTCATGAGCACTCTTGTCTCATATATACCCACACTGATGTTGTCACTTCCCTTTTTACATTGTTATTAAACCAATTTCAGAAATTATATTACATTATATTACTTAATCTGTCAATATTCTATATGCTCCTCAAAAAGATAAGTACTCCTCCAGAAAACATAAACACAATACCATATTCAAACTTAAATTTTTAAACATGTCATTAAAGTTAAAATTTTGTAAAACAATATCTCACGTAAAATTTGCATATCTAAATGGTGAGGAAGGATTTCTCTTAAATTATTCAATTGCTGCAGGTTATTAGAGAAAATTAAAGAAATGGTTGTATTACATGATACAAGGGCCTTAATTTCTACAAGTCCAAAAAAGTGGCCCTTCGATAAAGAGATATTGCTTTTTGTAATGAAGACACTGAAAATGTTTGCTTACCTGCATGGATAGCAGGCATATCATTGTGAAGTTAAATGAAGCCAATATTGTTGAAGTGATAGTGTTCAGATACAGTGTGAGACAATGGGCCGTTAGTTAATGTGCCAGATTCCTTGTACATAATTGGTCAATAATGTGTTACAAAATTACAAGAAGAAACTTTTCAACTTAATATGGAGAGTTCAAACTTTTCTATTACTCAAAAGTATAATACACACTATTATAGAGTTTATGTAAATAGAGGTAACAGGCACAGTTTTATGAGGCTTTGGGAAAAATTTTCCATGATGACCTTGAAAAGCCTGCAGAATTTATGTGATACAGACAATTCCTTTTCAATTTTTGTGTGACTGTAAGGCATAAAAGCCTCTCTTAAGGATCTTGTAAGTGAAGAAAATGTTTAAGTGTGTTCAAACTGTCTACAGAAATGTCACATTAGAGAGAAATGACTACAAAGTGAAATAATCATCAATTGTCTAATATGTTGCAGACCTATCTTTTTTACTGCTATAGCTGAAGTTTTATAAATAATTGATTCATATTTAACGAGGAGAAGGCAGTTATATGGGGCTTTTTTACTATAAAGATAATTGATTCAATTACAAGGAAATGTGATAAAATGATGGAGGATTATTTGGGAAACCTTTAACTCTCTTGGTATGCAGAAGTAAATTTAGGGAGGTGCTCTAGCATTAACACTTAGAAAAATTTTATAGTTATTATTTATCCAAAACCTGAAATATGTCACATAATATTATGCAGACAAAGACACATAGAAAGATATACACATGCACACGTTTGTGAAACAGTCAAATGGTTGGACCTGATGTATATTGTAATGTGAATGGACATTTTGATATGCACCTAAGTCATGATTGCTTGAGCATACTATTACTTAAAATGAGGAGGAATAGACTTATAATTTATAGTGATTAGCTCTACTATGTAGGATCTCTGTGAAGAGATTAAGAGCAAAAGAAGGAAAAAATATCTTTCAAATGGCCCCTAAGAGGGAATGTGATCAATTTACCCCTAAATTGAAAGGATACTTGTGTTCTTGAAAAGGTGCTAATTAGCACATTTACTTACCGTCTTTATCTGAAGTAAAAGAAAAAATTTTTTTGCTATGAAGTTCACTTATCATTTAAAAAATCCTGAATATTTAATGGTGACCATATTATGCCCCTTTTAGGTCTCTAAAGCAGGGAAGATTCATTCAAGGGTCTATTTAATTGAAACACTAAAGTCATCCTTGGTGGCTTGTAATGTAAAATTTGTCCAGGACAGTTCTTCAGAACTGGATCCAATTTCATTGTGATAATTTTTATAATTATTCTTTATATTTCTGTAATTTGATAGATACCACATTATGTGGGTTATTGATGGAAAACTGGTAATCCAGTATGTCTAGAGTAAACAGGAAAATAACTTTTGAGGCTAATTGACATATATTTTAAGGTTAATTCATCAAGTACAGGTAAGTGATAAAAGATTAGAATAGACATGTTTAGGATGTGGAGTTTCTGTAATAACAACATAATCATTGCGTAGATTTTCTTTGAATGAATGTGAAAACTCATGAGGTAGTGGTCTCTAAGGTGTTTTAGCGCTGCAATCAAATGGTTTTCTTTATATTTTCTTTTTTTTTTTTGGAGACAGAATCTCACTCTGTCACCCAGGTTGGAGTTCAATGGCACAATCTTGGCTCACTGCAACCTCTGCCTCCTGGGTTCAAGCAATTATCTCCTGCCTCAGCCTCCCAAGTAACTGAGATTACAGATATGCACCACCACATCCAGCTAATTTTTGTATTTTTAGTAGAGATGGGGTTTCGCCATGTTAGCCAGGCTGGTTTCGAACTCCTGACCTCAGGTGATCCACCTGCTTCAGCCTCCCAAGGTGCTGGGATTATAGGCATGAGCCACCACGCCCGGCCAGTTTCCTTTATATTTTCAAAGAGAAATGTCTAAATATTGGAAATACCGAAAAGCACAAGTCTATTCTGGAGCTGAAGTTTCTGGTTCTGGCTCTGGTGTTTTGGGGATTTTTCATGACTTCACTTGAGTGTGATGTATATAGCTGGCAATCTCTGGTAGTTTAATGGCTGTGGGGGTAGATAATAGAATAGTGAGCGAGCCCTTCCAGACTGGAGTTAGTTGGGAATTTTAGGTTCCATCCTTCTAAGCTTTAATGATATCTGGTGAGCTTGGAGGATACAGAAGTGGGTATTTTTTCCCTTCAAATTTTGGGTTTGTTTGTAACCCATATTCCCAGAGAGCCTTTTGGAAGCTTGCTAAAGAAGAGGCATACCTGGGTGATTGTGGCAATTTCTTCACCTAGTAAGAAGTCAAAATATAGGAATGTCCTTTCATATGAGGCCTCAAAGGGGCTTAATTGCAAGGGAGCCTTAGGGGCAACACAGATCTGAGGAGGGCTAAGGATAAGAGGTACTGCCATGGCTGTGCAGTTTCCTGATAGAGTATATAGAGGATGCATTTGAAGGTTTGGTTAGTTCTTTCCACTTTTCCTGTAGATTGTGGCCTCCAGGCAGAGTGAAGGTACCACTTTATTCCTAGGGCACTACTAACCTGTTGAGCCACTTGGGAAATGAAGGAAGGACCACCGTTGCTCTGCAATAACCTGGGGAGCCTGAACTGGAAAATAAGTTCCTTTAGGAAAAATTTAGTAATCTTTTGTGCCTTGGTAGTCCTTGTGGGGCAGGCTTCTGCCCATCCTAATGCAGGTGTCTACACAGACCAAGAGGTACTTATACCTGCAGTGTGCAGGGAGCTGAGTGAATTTCATCTACCGGTCTGCCCAGGGTAGGCACTGCTCCTTTGGACTGGGCTTATTAATGGAGTGGGCTTCCCTCTCTGGGGATTATTTATGGTGCACAAGGTGCTTGACAAACCGTTGAATAGTTTTCTTTAGTCCCTTCCCACTGAACACCCCTTTACAAATTTTCCCTAGACTGTGTTTTCCAAAGTGGCCAAGTCTTGATGACTTTCCATTCGGAGGGTTTAGGTAGATGGAGAAGTTCTCCCAACCTGTACCATCCATTAATTTTCTTTTAGATACCCATGTTGTGTGGCCAAATCTATTTTTCTCCTTAGTGTATTAGAGAGTGGGAAGTTCATTGGGGAGTGAAGGGAGTAAGGCCCCCATGAGGGTATCTTTTGAGATAGCTACCTCTTTAGCTTTTTGGTCTACTGAACTATTTCCCTGTGCAGTTTCATTAGAGCTTTTCTGGTGTCCTTTGTGGTGTACTACTGCCACCTCCTGTGGCAGATGAAGAGCCTCTAGTGGCTCTAAGATTTGGGCCTGTACTTAATAGAAGTATTCAGAGCTGTTAGGTATCCCTTTCCTCCTAGATAGCCTCATGGGTGTGAAGCACCAGATAGGTGTATTTGGAACCTGTGTAGATTCTCTTTCTTTCCCCTAGTTTTAGGGCTCTGATCAACATGATAAGTTTGGCTAGATGTGCTGAGGTCCCTGGGGAAAGAGCTTTAGCCTCTGTGACTTGGTGAAGGCACAGTATAGTGTAACCTGTATGTCTGGTTCCATTTCTGACAAGCTATTCCCATCTGAAAACCATATTTCATACAGATTATCTATTGGCTGATATTTTAAGTCTTCATGGCTGGCATAAACTTGGTTAAGTGTCTCACAACACAAATGTGTTGACTTATTGTCTCCTGGTAGTAAGGAGTAAGGAGGCTGGGTGAAGGGTGGAATACTACTCAACTGTTACCTGTGAGTTTTTTAACAACAAGACTTGGCACTTCAGCAATCTGTTGTCAGTGAGCCATCATGACCCTTTTATGTCTAATAAGGTGCCTATTTGGTAGGAACTCAGGAGCCAAACTGACTGTCCTATGGTGAGTTTGAGGACTTCCTCAAGCAGAGGGCTGCTACAGCCACTACTTTGAAGCAATGTGGCCAACCTTATGCTACTACGTCTAGGTTCTTTGAAAAGTAACCAACAGGACATTGTATTGACCTGATGGTTTAAATTAGAACCCCTTGAGTTAAACCTTGTTTTTCAGTGACAAAAGCCTAGTTTGGCTAGTATGGGTGGCCCATGGGCTGGGACATGTGACAGGGCAGTTTTTAGCTACCTAAAGGCTTGCTCCTGATCCTTTTCCCAGATAAGTGGGTCCCTATTAGACCCTTTTTTAGATCCTGATTAAAGGATTTAACAATACCACCATACCCCAGTATTCAAAGCCTGCAAATCCTGTGATCCCCAGAAAGGCACAAAGTTGCTTTCAGGTGATTGGGATAGGTATTCTAAGGATGACCTGTATTTATTCTGGGAGAGCTTACATACTTTGGGGGTCAAGATTATCCCCAGGTTTTGGACATCTTGTCTTAGAAGCTGTGCCTTGGCCTTGGACACCTTGTACCCTCTGTCTGTGAGGAAATTTAGTGTCTGGACTAGATGTTGGATTCCCAACTCTCTTGTGGGGGAGCAGATTAACAGGTCTTCTACATACTGTAGGAGATGCCCTCCCCACTCAAGCATTAGATCCTGCAAAGCTCTAGTCAAGGCTTGCCCAAACAAATGGGAACTATCTCTAAAACCTTGTGAAAGCACTGTCCAGGTGAGCTATTGACTCCTTCCTTTTTTATTTGTCCACTAAAATGCAAATAGAGTTTGGAAGAATGAGTCTAGGGGATACAAAAGAAAGTGTCTTTGAGGTCTAAGACTGAAAACCACTAAGCATCTGGAGGTACTTCTACAATTACTTAAGGGTTGGGGACCACTGGGTTTGTTGAGACTACTGCTTCATTTATAATTTGCAGATCCTGGACTAGCTTGTTTTCTCTCTTGCTCATTTTAACAGGTAAGATGGAAGTATTACAGTGTGAGTTACAGGGTATTAATAATCCATGTTTTAAAACTTTTTCAATAAGGGGCTGAAGTCCCTCTTTGGCCTCTGTCTGAAGAGGAAGCTGACTTCTACAAGGGTAACTAGAAGGATTCTTGAGCTGAATTACTACATTATGATCTTTTCTGGTATTCCTGAGGCCCCAACCGCTGGATTAATGGGAAGCTCCGTGGGTAGTTCATCTTTGTGTGTGGTTTCCTTGAGACATAAGATTGCGTTTGAAAAAGGGGGTGTTGGCTCTGGAGGAAAGGTTAATGGAGCCCCTAGTCTGAACAAAATATCTCTGTTTAAAAGGAGCATAAGACATTCTGGCATCACTAAAAACAAATGAGAAAAGACAGTTTTCCGCCACGGCAGCACAGAGAACGAATAAACCTCTGGGTTATGGAAACCCCATTTACCCCCATCACCTGGCAGGATTTGGAGGATAATTGCCTGGGAAAATAGGTAAGCTTATTGTCCTTCCTGCCACATTCAAAGAGCCCTTGGCTCCATTCCTTCAATAGTGATGTTCAATCCAGGAGCCAACTGGAGTGTAGGAAGGACCCCTTCAGCTCAAAGCCATGAGGGGTTGCAATTCTGTCCTGGGCACCCTTCAGTCCTCAGGAAAGTCTCATTTCCAGTGGCTGAGCTTGTGATAGAGGGGACAAGCCATGCAGTTTATCCCACTGAGGAAGTTGGCCCTCCAGTGGGCTGGCTTCCGGCATTGATGGCAGTTACCTGGAAGGATATTCTGAAGGCAACATGGAGGAGGCTGGCAGACTTGCAGGGCAGCCATCAGTTGGAGCTGCCACTTTTACTTTTGCCTCTCCCTTTCCTGAGAAAGTTCCTTTTCCTCCTGGTCCCAGTTGTAAAAGACAGAGAAAGCTATTTTGAGGATGTCAGGCATATGGGTGTTGGAGCCCAGTACTTGTCTTGGGAGTTTCCTCTGAATATCTGGAGCTTCCTGAGTTAGAAAATTGTTCTTTTGTACTAGTTGTCCTTCTGGTGGCTCTGGATCTAGGTTTGTATGTTTTATTAGGGCTCTTTGTAGCCTCTCTTGGAAAGCAGTGAGGTTTTCAAGAGGGTCTTGATCTATTAAGGACAATTTGCTTTAATTCACAGGCTTTCTTCTGCTAGCCTTCATTCCCTCTATGAGACAGAGGAACAGTGGTTCTTTGTCCACATACTCCCATGGGTATTGTAATCCTAGCTGGCATCGACCTGGGGAACTGCAGTGATTCCCACAGGGTAGCCACCAGGGTCAGTCATTTGCATCGTGTTTGCAAATTGCTGGGCTGCCTCCATAATGGAGTCACATTCTGCCTCTAGACAGAGGTTGCCCCAGTATGACTAATAGGTCCCTGCAGGTGACTTCAAATGTTAATTCCAGTTTATGGAACCCTTTGATGTGTTTCTCAGAGTCCTCTATAAATCTCCCTTGTCCCATTTTAATTTGGCTCAGGTCCTGCATAGTGAATGGAGTCTGAACTCTAGTGGATCCACTGGGGCTGCAACCCTCCTGAAACGAGCATAACTTAAGGGAGTGGTGGCCAGAGGATAACCTTGGGTAGGGAGGGGAAGCCTCCAGGACTAGGAGACTTGGATATAATGCAGTAAAAGGGTCAGTGGGGTTTGAGCTAAGCTTTACACTTAGGTTTTATGGGGCTTGAACTCTGTGCAAACCCAATAAGGGGTCTCCCAAACCAATTGGAGGGGGCTCTCTGACTACGGCTGCTATCATCACTGGATTTATTTTACAAACCTGATAAAGGTCAGGACAATTTCCTAGGGTCATGAAGGCCTGTATATAAGGGCTATTTATTTTCCATGGGGTGGCAAAACAAATCTAGTTGATGGATTGTATTAAAATTGTCCATTTTCCAGCTATGATTCCTGGTCCCAGAGCTTGTATTCAACCCAGGCTATGTTACAGAAAAACATTAGCCTTTTCCTCTTTAGGGCTTGGTGGTCAAACTTTTCTCAGTTCTTTAGGATGCAACCAAGGGGCATGTCCTGTAGTACAGAGACATGATTACCCATCTGCGAAGAGAGAACAGAGGAGAAAAAAGAAAAAGAAATCATTCCCTCTTATTCTTCTATTGTCTTTTCCTGAACAGGGTGTCCCTTATTCATCCTGGGGGTTCCAGAATGAACTGGTCTCACTGGATACCCTTAAGCTTGGTCCCCTCTTGTCTTATGGAGGTGCAATTACCCACTTGAGAACAGAGAATATACCAGTGTGAACACGGGGCCCCCTATTCATCCTTGGGGTTCTGGAATGAACTGGACTTTTGGGGTACACCTAACCTTGCCTTCATCTTTGTTCTATGGTAATCTGTTCTGTGCCTGTAGCCTGGGATCAGCCTTCACCTACTTCATCCATGTCCTATGGGTACTTTGGTCTTTTGTGCCTGTGGCCTTGGGTCACCCTGTATTACCTGTCTGTATGACCTTATAATGACTCTCGTTTGGAGCATTCTGCAACAAAATGATTATCTCTTTTCTCATATTCCCATTTCCCGTGTTCCTTAAGTAGATGAGAATCATGTTTTTCAGCTAACTGCTGCAAGGGGACTGGACTTCCCTCCCTTCGAATATAACCTTGAAGGTTCTGATGCATATTGAGAAGGGCATGGAAATAGTTAAAGGAATGGAGGAAAATTTATATTCGGGGTTCCTTTGCCTCCTGGGATAACATGCAGAACAAATGCTTAAACGGACAGGACAATCCCTCTGCTAAAGAAAGAAGCAGGAGAAAACAAGAGGGAGACTCATGGAAAGCCTTTATATGTTCAAAAAAACAGTAACCCTTGGATTAGAGAGGGCAACTTTTATTTGCCTTCTTGATGTAAAGGAGGAACCTCTGACGGACTTGGGGCTTGAGATAAGGGCTCACAAATTGCAATAAAAGCATTTTATTTCTTCTCAAAGGGGTGCTAACTAAACAAACAAAGCAAGTTGGTGGGGTCCTTAAAAGGCCACAGAGTGAGGTCCTATACAGGTGGACGAACCACTTCACAAGAAACTGAAAATCTTAGCCTTGGAGCACAATAGGGACAAACAACATACAGAAAGTCATTAGAAGGTGGTAGAGCTGGGATTCTGATTAGTGTCTTTCCTGGCAAAGAGTCAGCAGACAGAGGAAGGGTTGGAGGTTATCTGATCTGGTAAACAAAGTATAAATCTCAGGGTATATCTGCAATGCAGCTTGTCTCCAGGCTGCCAGGCAGATACAGCAAGAGCTATGGGTGCACAAATAACAAACAGGGAGTGCTATGTTTAAGGAAGAAAAAGAAGTCATACAGCATGCAAAGTGAAAGCAGAGAAAAGGCAGACTTTTCCCAAGGTAGAGAGTCCAGCAGATGTACAAGGCCATTTCAGGATATAGACAGAGAAAACAGGAAAGAAGGTGATGTGCACTTTTTGGGAAATAGTTAATTTTAGTTGAAGAAGCAGAGGAAATCCCAGGCATCACATGGTCTTAGCCTTTAGCCCTACCACTCTCATGGGCCTCCTGTCCAGGAGGGCCATTAGTGTCTGAGGTCTACTCAGTGCAGACTCCAAGTTCCTTCCCATCACCATGAGCCATCTGTCAGGGTGAGCTGAGAGATCAGCCAGGGGAAGCAAAACCACTGTCACTGAGAGAAATCATTCTAGGGGTGGGGAAGTGGTGGTTAGTAAGCAGGAGAGCAAAAAGAGAAGAAAACTGCATGTGAGTGTTGAACGCCTCCAGTCCAAGAAGGTGAGGCATAAAGGTGTCCTACCACTGGGAACATATTCCAGTCAAATGACAACAAAGTACGTTATCAACAGCAAACCCATACAGGTATGCAGCAAACTTGATCTTTGCCCCTTTGGAGGAAAGAATTTAGGGGTAGAAGTAGGTTTAAGGTAGAGGGAGAGATGGAGGCAAGTTTTATAGCAGGAGTGAGAGTTTATTAAAAAGTTTTAGAGCAGAAATTAGAGGAAGCAAAGTACACTTGGAAGAGGGCCAAGAGGATGACTTGAGAGATCCAAGTGCCCTGATTAGCCCTGGACTTAGAGTTTTTTACCTTGGCATGGATCTGGGGTTTGCATTTCTCCTCCCTTGATTATTCCTTTGGAGTAGGCTGTCCACATGCACAGTGGCCTGCCAGCACTTGCAAGAGGCTGCATGCACAATATGTTGAGGCAGGAGAATAGCTTGAACCTGGGAGGCAGAGGTTGCAGTGAGCTGAGATCTAGAAAACAAGGAGGATGACCCCCTTTGGGGCACGCTGTAGGTTTTATGGCACCTATACTTGCCAGAGTAAAATTGAAGTAATATAGTCTTTGTGCACATTTACATTAAGGAAGAAGAGCCCTAAGGTCAACCTGCAAACTATAGAGTTCCTGTGTCCACTTTTTCTCTATTTTCTTTTCTGCCTGCTTTAAATCTGCTGTTTATTTTTCTACTGTGATAAAAACCACTGTTTGGATCTAACAGGTTTTTTTTGTTGTTGTTTGCTTGTTTGTTTTTCACAAGCCAGTGAATTTGTATTTATCTCATGGATAAAGTACTGAAATAAAAGCTATAGAATCTTTGTGAGTGGGTATGTGTATGTGTGTGTGTGTGTGTGTGTGTGTGTGTGTGTGTGTGTATTTGGAGGCCTAGATTTCTGTAATTTTCTGTTCAATTGGCAATTAAATCCATTTTAATTTCCCTCTAGCTAACAAGACTTTCTCTTCATACCTTATGATGTGAATTTTGCTATCTGATTTTCACCTGAGTTGTTTTCTTTAATATGCAGATTTAGGACTATTTAGCTGACAACTGCCAGGGTAAGAAAACAGGTTATCAAGAGTTGGCAAGTCTAAAATAGGAAAAATAAGGAGGTCTTAAGAATTTATAAGACATACTTCTATCAGGATGCCTAATATATCTCTATATTTATGTGTTGTGTACACAATGTTTCACTACTGAAAATATATTAAAAAGCTCTAATTAACTGGCTTGAGAAAATAAAAGCATTCAAATAAAATACTTATCAGGAAAGAAGAAAAGACTAGTCAACTGCTTTTCTGAGTTTATGTAACTTAAGTAAAATCTTTAAGAACTAAGTTAGGTTTAAAGTTATTGGTAAAGTAATGTTAGAAATGTCTTAAGAATTACTAGCATACATTTTTGTTTGCATTTATTAATCAATCAACTTCATACTTATCCCTTTGAAATATTATAAGGTATCAAAATTTGGCACAGGGGTTACAAAACTATAAACCCAGCCTAAAACAGAATAATCTTTGCTTGTGTAACTTTTAATAAATAAGACATTGATATTAGTTTAATATAAATGGCTACATTTTGAATTATTTAGTAAAATTACTGTACCTTCTAATTTTGTGGCTTTAGGCAGTCTAGTCCATAGGCAGTAAGGAGGTTTGTTTTGGGAAAGGACTGTTATCATCTTTGTTTCAAAGCTAAACTATAAACTAACTTGTCATTATTTAGAATGTAATGTTCTATTAAATTAAATAATAGATATTTCATTATTTGGGTATTTTCCAATAAAAATATATTGTAGGAAAACTTGAACTTGCTAAAAAAATTGTGTCCTTTTTAAAAAGGGTGAATAAGTTTTGTCTATTTCAAAACTTATTTTAAAGTGATGTATAAAACAAGGTAAAGGAACCAGGAAATAAGAAAAATGTACAGAAATTTATAAAAATAAAGAGTTTTTTGTGGTAAGAAAGCTTAAAGATAAATAATTTTATATGAGAAAGAATTTTGTATGGTAAATTTAGTCCTAAAATAAAGTGACTGGTTGTTTCAGAAAGACAGATGTTCAGGACAAACCAGAAAGTCCAAGCATGTCATTAAAGGTATCTGTAAGTCACAATAAGAGGGTTTATTTTAAAAACTTTTATTTGATCAGGTTGGTTATACTTAAAGGAAAATTATAACACTCTTTCTAGAGATTGGACTTGATGGAAAAAAACCTCTATATACACTAAATTATCGGTTAGAACAATAAAATTTTCTTAAGGGTTTTATTTACTCTTAATAAATTACAAGAGATTTTAACTTTTTCTAACCCCAAATTCAACTTTTATTTCATCTTGCTGTTTTTTGGCTTTCTCTCCTCTTTTAAAAGGTAAGTTTTCTTAAAGGTCTAAAGGAAATGTTTTTTCCCAACATAATATTCTCTGCATTGCAGAAAGTGTTTTCTCTTGTCTCTTGTTAGCTGGCCTAACAGGATTTATGTTTCATCAAAGCAATTCCTATACCATTATTATTAAGTTTGGTTTGCTTAGAAAAAAGCTGAGATTTAATTTTCTTTTAAATTAAGGATATTGCATCTGTGTATTTTCCTACATATGCTTTTAAGGTCCTTGTGACATTGAATTACAGGGCTTTTGACTCCTGGGTCTAAAAAGAACACCAAGTCTAGCTAAATCTTAACACTGACAGCAATTAAAGCCTCATCTGAAGGCCTCATAGAAGAAGCCAATCAAAATAAACTGCATTCCTGAGACACAGGGCCAAAAACTAAAGCTATTCGACTCCTGAAGTCCCAGGGACTATCATGGAAGAGGTGGGCATATGAGATTGTAAGGGTCGATTTTGAAAGATAAAATCAGTTCAGTTTCTCTATAAATTAATCATTAATGTCAAAGGCACACTGATGCAAGACCAGCATATGGGCCTCTGTGTCAGATTAACAAGGTTTTCTTAAAGTATTAACCAACTCCTTAATAAAGGTTATAAAGATTATAAAAGGCTTATGAAAGTTATATCTTTTCATCAAAATTAAAATTTTATAGATTGTTTATAAAATTTTGAAAAACAAATTTAATGGACTTTATGCTGTTTTTTATTAGGGAATACTGTTGGAAAATTAAGTCTCCTCTCTCAAAGAATGAAGGTTTTTGCCTTCTTTTTTTTAATCCTTGAGTTATCACTTTGTTTAAATGAATGATTTACTTTACCATAACCTCTAATCTTATTTTGTAATATTAAGTGTTTTAAACCTTTGCTATTAGACAAACTTTCTGAAATCAAATTATAAACTATATCTTTTTCTGGCCTAATTAATCCTTTAAGATTTACTCTCCCTAAAGTCCAAAAATGAAATAATTTGTCTTATTTAGTATAAAAATTATACAGAAAGTATTGTCAAATATGAAATGATGTTTGGTTTTCTTTGAGCTGTATTTATATAAATATGTTTTTGGTATGTGTTCCAAAATTATGGAAAACTCCTGTAATTCTGATATAACTTAGGGTATATTATTAATAATTATCATAATTGTTATGTTAAAATTATTGTGTGCCATAGAGGTAACAAATTTCCTTGTCAATTGTGTCTTTGACTATGGATGCCCTAAAATTTTTGTCATCTGCAGACAATTGTTGTCTTGTTTTGTTCCTCTTTAGAAGGGGTTTTATAATAAGCTATAAAACTCTAACGGGTGCTCTTGAATGCAGGTTTCTGATAACTTTGGAGATTGTGACATCAGAATAGAGGAAAAACTTTTAGGACTCATGGAGAGCTAAAATGTTCATGAGTATCAAGCAGAAAAGGAATGAACTATATGGACTGAACTAATATTTTTGACTTTGTGCTTAAAATGTTTCTGATTCTTTGTTTTGTTTTTCAGGTCTCAAAACTTTTCTTTTGAGTTATTGATAGCTTTTAACAATTTATTTTACTCCTAAGGACAAAATTTGGGGCATATTTGTTTCTCTCGACCTGATTTCTGCAGAATTTGGAAACTATTTGTGAGTATTCTTAACTTATGGCAATACAGTTATTTGCATAAGTGTAATAAGAATCTATTTTTAATTGTAACAGGACACAGTTAGAGAAACTGGTTATTTTACCAAGGCTTTGAATGGAATGGTGTGCTTCCCTTTAAGGAATCAAACTTGACTTATGGAGCCAATAAAGCCCTTGGAGAAACTGGCCTCATATTTTATATACACAGTCCCTGTACAGGGTTTCTGACCTGTGGTAAATAAAGAATGTCACTTTCTGACAGGCCGGAAAGCCCTAGGTTTGTCATGGAACCTCAAGAAAAGAGGAAATTCACCTAACTAATAGGTACTAATGGTACAAATCCATGACTGGATTTGGCTTTAACAAAGTCTTATCTGAGATTTCTTCTATGGAATAAAGTTCCATCAAAGTGAATTAAAAAATATGTATGTAAAAAATAATTATGACTGCACTTTATACAAATAATTGGGCAAATTATAATAAAGCAAACCAGTTCTATCATGATTTGTCTTTAGCAAAAATGGGAAACTGGAGAGAGAAAAATTATGTTTCAAAAACTATAGTACACCTGTTGTTAGATTCTAGTCTTGCCTAATGTTTTTATTTTCTACAGTCTGGACCCAATTCTTTTTACTGGCTACAATCTGCAAATAACATATTCATTTTTTTCTTCTTTTTTGCATTTTTATTCATTTGAAAGCACTGAAAGCTAAGCTGTGCTTTCATAAATCCCTGAGAACTGAAGCTAGACAACTTAATCTTCAGAAGAAAATAACAACAACCTATTTATGTACATAAGCCACTTTCATAACTGCTTACTGATATATGGACTTCAGAGTATTGTGGACTATATTGATTTTCCAGAATTGTTCTTTTGTTTGTTATTACTTTTCTCCCTTTCTCCGCCTGTTTTTTTTCACAACAAATTGCTTTTATTTTGGTATGCATCCACATTTCAGCATTTAGTGGTCCTGAACAGAAAGTGGAAAGACAGCAATTCAATCCCCCCAATTTTGGGGATCTGCTGTGCACGCTAGGTTCTTTCTTAATCCCTGCTGAGGAACTTGAGAAGCAGCAGCAGCACCAAAACCAAGGCATGCACCAGATTCAAGGTTCTTTTTGTTCCAGTTGTCAGATTCCAAACTAGACCCCAATGTATTGCAAGTATGACCAAATAAAAGCCCTGTTTAAAACTTCTTCTTTTTCTTTTTTTTTTTTTGAGACAGAGTTTCACTCTTGTTGCCTAGGCTGGAGTGCAATGGCATGATCTCAGCTCGCTGCAACCTCTGCCACCTGGGTTCAAGCAATTCTCCTGCCTCAGCCTCCCAAGTAGTGGGATTACAAGCATGTGCCACCACACCCAGCTAATTTTGTATTTTTAGTACAGATGGGGTATCACCATGTTGGTCAGGCTGGTCTCGAACTCCTCACCTCAGGTGATCCACCTGCCTCAGCCTCCCAAAGTGCTGGGATTACAGGCATGAGCCACCATGCCTAGTCAACTTCTTCAATTTTTAAATGCAAAAGCAATTACAGGAAAGTAAAACAATTCACAGGGATCATGTGTACTTGCAAGTGTCTTCATGTGGTCTTTCTCCAAGTTTAACCACCAAGGACTCTGAGAGCTGGCAGGTCTGAGTAACCCCAGTGACTATTCTTTCCACCTTATAAAAACCTGAGCTAAAAACAGTGCATTAGCTGATGACAGCAGAGGGTGGCAGGGCTGAGGACCCAATATTCATTTCCCAGGTTGGTGGAAAGTGAATAAGTATGGTTCCGAAACTAAACAAGGGAAATCAGAGGGTCTTTCCATCCTTGTCTGATGGCTTCTGGCCAAAGCAAGGAAGTGTCATGGAAGGTGTTGGGTGGTGATGGTGCAAAAAGCAGCTTGAGGAGGAGGGAAGAAAAAGTGCACCCCTTAATAAAGGTAGGGGATAGAAGATATGGGGAAAGCCCTGAATTCCTCACTGAAAGCTAATCTCAGAGGGTAGCGGAGGGGTTACAATCTATGCTTTGGCCAAGGGCAGGAGTGGAGGAGCTTAGGGAGAGGATGATGGCTTGGAAGGGGCATCATTTAAGACTCGAAGAAACCAGGGGTGCAGGTGAAGCACCCTACACACCCAGCAGTAGTCCCACAGGCTGTGACCTGAAACCTTCACATCTACTCTACAGGCCCCCCAGGCTAGAGGGCTGTTGTTGCAGGGAGGGTGGGAGGTAGTAGGTAGGCAGAGACCCCAGGCCATGTAATCAGCAGCAAGGCGATTGTGTGATGTGTCTTTTCACAGTTGAGTTAGATGTGCCCCATCAGTTATGATGGGAATCAATTTAAATAGACTTTCTTGATCCCAGAAGTTCAACTATGGGGACAGTGGTTACACTTGACATGATGATTTGTCATAGCACAACTTATATATTTCAAGTGGACAAAAAATTAGTATCATTTATAGTATCTTAAGATAAATTTCCTTTGAATGGGAGCTTTCTTTCCAGTACTTTGAGGTCTACAAGATGTATCTGGAAAATGTACTACTCTGGAAAATGAAGACTGCTTAAATCGAATGGGGGGAAAAGGGAAGGGCTTGTGGTTTTTCTTTTGGATTAATTGCTGTAACACTGTCCTTCAGGTGACTGAGGGAGTTTCATATTTTCTTTAGACATAATTAGGCACCAAAGCTCTTGCAGGACAACTTTGGTGCTATATGAATTCTGCCATTTTGCTAGCACTGATGTGGCTCTTGTGTCCACCACTCCATTAGAACTATTAACTCCATTTTAATTTTTGTTACAAATCTTACAAAGGGGGGTGTTTCCGGGTATTTAGGTTCACATTCTATTCTCAGGCTGTGTACCTGGTTTTCATAAATTGTCCTTGGAGGCCCAATTATCTTCCCTGTCCATCTTATAAGTGTCATGTCTTCGTCATCTTCTAGACCCCAGCTAACTGTGCCATCTCCTACTCCTTTCTTCGAGTTCGTCCAACAGACGGAAATTGTAAGGGACTGTTACTCCCTAGCCCATGGTGGCTGCCATCTTGCAACGCTGTTGCCTGAAGGCTGGCCCCTTCTCTCCCCCTATTTTATTCTCACAGGGCATGAGACCACAGTCTTCTAAAAATGACCTTTCCTAATAACTACGGACCTACCTGTCTAGGAATAAACCATCTTAGCCATGAGAGAGAGGATGAAATCTGAGACCAAATACTCATTTTCTTCTAAAATGCTTTCTCCAAAAGATTTAATAAAAGAAAACAGGGGAAATGTGAAAGGAAAATATATTGGTCACCCAAAATCACTAAGTTAAAAAGTAAATTCAAGCTGGGAACTGCTTAGGGCAAATCTGCCTCCCATTGCATTGAAAGTCATCCCTCTGCTCACTGAGATAAATGCATATTTGATTGCTTTCTTTGGAAAGGCTAATCAGAAACTCAAAAGAATGCAATCGTTTTTCTCTCACCCACCTGTGACCCGGAAGCCCCCACCCTGCTTCAAATTGCCACTCCTTTCTGGACCAAACCAATGTTCATTTTACATATATTGATTGTTGTCTCATGTCTCCCTAAAAATATATATATAACTAAGCTATGATCTGATCACCTTGGACACACTTTGTCAGGACCTCCTGAGGTTGTGTCACAGGTGTGTATTCTCAATGTTGGCAAAATAAACTTTCTAAATTAACTGAGATCTGTCTCAAATTTTAGGGGTTCACACCACTCTCTCCTTGCTTGTAAGATTTCCACTGAAAAGTCTGCTACCAGATGTATTGGAGCTTCACAGTGTGTTATTTTATCTTTTGCTTTTGCTGCTTTTAGAATCCTTTCTGGATTGTTGATTTTTGGAAGTTTGCTTATTAAATGCCTTTTTTAAGTTGTCAAATTATTGGCATAAAGTTGTTCATAAAATTTATTTATTATATTTTAAGTTCTGTAAGATTTATGTTCTCTCATTTTTCCTAACAGTGGTAAATTGTGCTTTATTTTTTGGTTTATCAGTGTAGCTAGGACTTTATAAATTTTCTAAGTGTTTTCAAGATCCAACTGTTTAAAAGACTTTTTGAAAACTAAACAATAGACACAACTTAAGTTGAATTTCACAAATTTTTCTAAACAATAAACACTGCTTAAGATTTACTTTACACACTTACATTTGTTGTAATTTTAAGATAATTTAATTCAAGATATTTTAACATTTCTCCTGTATCTTTGATACATGTGTAATTCAAAAGTGTTACTTTATTTTCAAATATTTGTTGCTTTTTCAAGTATATGAATTTGTTAGTTAATTCTCCCTTGATGTCATTTTGCTAAGAGAGCATGTTCTGAATTATTTTTTTAAAGTTTTTGGAATATTTTGTGACTCAGTTTGCAGTCTCTGTGAATGCTCCTTATGAACTTTCAAAGAGTGCATATTTTTCTGTTCAGTATACTGTCTTACACATGCCAGTTAGGTTTAATGGGATGATAGAATTGATTCAGGTCCTATATAACCTTACTCATTTTTTTTTTGTCTGCTTTTTTTCTATCAATTACTACAGGAGAAGTGCCAGTATCTCCAATTATTTTGGTGGAAGTGTCTTTTTGTGTTGAATTCTCTGTTTCTGCTTTATTTAATTTAAGCTGTATTTTAAGGTGCATACATATTTAAGATTTCTACATCTTCTTGATGAATTAGTCAGGTTATCATTATAAAATTATCTTCTTTATCTTTGGTCATATTATTGTATTGAAGTTCATTTTTTTTTTTTTTTTTTAGATGGAGTCTTTCTCTGTCACCCAGGCTGGAGTGCAATGGTACTTTCTGGGGTCACTGTAACCTCCGCCTCCTGGGTTCAAGCAATTCTCCTGCCTCAGCCTCCCAAATAGCTGGAATTACAGGTGTGTGCCACCACGCCCAGCTAATTTTTTGTATTTTTAGTAGAGACGGGGTTTCACCGTGTTAGCTGGGATGTTCTTGATCTCCTGACCTCATGATCCACCCGCCTCAGCCTCCCAAAGTGCTGAGATTACAGATGTGAGCCACCACACCCGGCCTGAAGTTCATTTTTTAAGATACAAATGTAACCACTCCAGTATTTTCTATGATGCATGTTTGCCGTAGGACAGATTTTTTTAAAAGATTACTCATAACTTATCGGTGTCATCTAATTTACTATATTTTTTTGGTTCGGGAGCTTATAGTAGGGTCTCGCTTTATTATCCAGACTTACAGTGTGTGTCTTTTATAAAATATATTTAGTTCCTTTTCAATTTTTGTAACTATTGGTATTTTTTTAAGTTGACCTCTTAGCATTTTGTTATTTATTTGTCCTATTGTTCATTCTGCTTCTTAATCTTTTTTTATACCTTTGAGTACATAAATATATAAATTTAATCTTCTCTATTGGACTTTATTTGCATATCGTTGCTTTTATTTGTCACAATTGTTCCCTTAGGATTAAAATTATTGTAGTTAACTCAAATTGATATTAAGCTACTTTACATAGCTATAAGAATGTTACAACAGTATCATTCCGTGAGCCTTCTCATTGTTTGTCATATCATTGTCATACAATTTACCTCTATATGTTATAAACCCCATTATGCTTTGTTTTTATTTTCATAATTCATTATATTTTTAGTAAACAGAATTTCTTTTATATTTATCCACAGGTTTGCCATTAGCATTATTTTTTTTTCATATATCTAATTTTCTACCTGATATAATTTAAAATCAGCCTGAAGAACTTCTTTTAATATATATATATTCTAATATTGCAGGTCTCCTGGTGTTAAACTGTTACAACTTTTGTTAATATAAATTTTTTTGTCATATTTGAAGAGTATTTTGTTGAATATTAAATTCTAGTTTAATAGTAATTTTATTTCATTATTTTAAATATATTCTGGTTTTAGTGGGCTTTTTTGACATGTGATGTTTCTGATGATAGGACATTATATTTCATGTCCTATAAATAATCTATGTTTTTCATGTGGCTGTTTAAGGTTTTTTTATTTAGCTTTTGTATATTTAACTATATTGTGCCTAGGTGTGTTTTTTGTTTTGTTTTGTTTTTAGTTTATTCAACTTACAGTTTGTTATATTTTTTGGGCTTATGGGTGGCTAGCTTTCAATTAATCTCAATATTTTACCATTTTCTATGCCTCACTATCTTCTCATTCAAAATCATATATTTAGATAATTAGATATGAAAACACTGGATAGTGATGCTGTTCACTTGGTATAGCTTGGTTTCTATCTATGTTGCATAGAATCTGTTATTGTGTTTTCAAATGCGCTCATAGTTTTCTGCTTTGTGTTTTTGTTAAGCCCATTTAGTAATTTATTTAAAATTTTAGATCATATTTTTCTGACTTCAAATTTCCATTTGAATTTTTCATAATTTTGATATTTCTATTCAGATTTGCTATTTACTCACACATTATATTCATCTTCGTATTTAAATTTAAGTCATTGATTGTTCAATATAACTGTAATAACTGTGCTAATGTTTTTGCCTGCTAATTCTCATATTTATCATCTCTAGTTATGCTTTTGTTAAAAAATTTTTTTTCTCTTATTTCTGCATCTTCCTTTAGATTGTGTAAGAGTGCATGCAGCTCTCACTCTAGAGTTACAGTATTTCTACATCTCATTTGTGTCCTGTCTAGATTTACACTTAATGAAAAGAGTGTTTAACATAGACTTCATGCTCTGGGCACTTGGAATTCCAATGTCTTTTAGCACTACATAAACTCCACAGTTTCTGCAGAGACCAGATCATAGAGTGCCTTTTACTACATACTAAGTTGGTATAATTTCTAATTTAAGATAGAAACCAGTCAAATTAATTGTTTAGACAGGCACAAATGATACATATTTATTGAATACATACTCCGTATTAGGAACTTAGAAAAATCTTTACTTACATATAATTACTAAATTCTTGCAATGGTACTGAGAAGCAGTCATTATTCTCCACACTTCAATTATGAGAAGAACTAAAATTTAGAGCTACGTAATATTTTATCTGTGAGCAAACAGATAGTCAATGTAGGCCTAAGATGTAAGCCCAGGTCTGTCTATTCCAATTCTGAAACTATAACCATCAATAGCAGTATTGAAAACTTATTTCAGTCAGGCAAAAATGGAGGTAAAAACCATTTCAGAAGATTTTGGTCAATACAAAAAATAATAAGTGTGTAAATTAATTAAGGCAGTAGGAATAATATTGGAGAAAAGAATATAGATTCAAGAAATATTTAGAAAATAAAATTAGCCATATATGGCAATTGGGATACATAAAAAAATTGGGTTGAGAGACCAGGGAAATGCTAACTTTCTAAAGTTTCCAGGTTGAATGGCAGAATTGCATGCCATTATTGTCACAGAGAATAAAGGATTGGAGAATTTCACTTATATGCACATTAAGCTGCCTGTGTTTTGTCCAGATGCAGATTATGTTTTGTATAATTGAGAAGTTCCAAAGGGAAGCCTCAGCTAGAGAATTTGATCTCCACATTATCAGCATTTCAGGGACTATTAAATCAAAGCATGAAGACAAATTAATGTTTTATAGTGTAGAAGACTTAAGCCCAACATGTTGTTCACAATAGTCTGAAAAAAATGTATATTTATAGAGGGAGGTACAAAGAGAGAGAGAGAGAAGCAGAGTAATACTCTATATAGTTAATAATATATATGGATAGAAACTTGATTAAAATATAAATAAAAATTAGCCATACCTTACAACTTACTAAATATTATTGACTAAAATAAACCAATGTATTTGTATTTCATCTTTTATTTATTTGATAAATATGTTTTGAGCACCTGTCAGGCTATTCCGATTGATCGTCAAACAGAAAACATTTTACCAGTCCGTTATGCCAGGTACCAATGCTTCTAACAGGTATGAGACACTATTCTGACTAATAATTTTACAATTTATGAAGAATTCCGTGAGCAGAAGCAGGAAGATGGGAGAGAAAATGTCAGGTTTTAGGGTAATGAATACAATAACTTGGCTGGAGCTCAGACTTTCCCTAATAGCCCATTACAGAATCCACTTTCCAAGCACCCTAAAAACTGCTTTTAGAATGTAGCAAGGATCATTGATGTTTGTGCTATGATCCAAAAGTATTAGTATGCCGCAGAGAAACTACTTATTCAACTACATTTTGCTTAGTAGATATTTGTTTTTACTCCACAAAAGATTAATATCACAGAATGACCTCAGCAAGTCAGTTTGGAATAAAGTGCTTTCTCACTCAAGTTGTTTAAAATATGAGTCTATTTTACCCCTCTTCAGGATTGCTCACAAGCAAAATAATAGATACATGATATTAAAGCATATCTAAGATCAATTATATGAGTTCAGAAACAATATTAGTTGGAAATATCTCTTACTCAAAGTAATTAGATATAGCATTGCTTCTAATATTTGGAACTATACTGAAAAGATTTGATTCAGAAATATTTATAAAGAAGTTAATAGTGCTATACTGTTAAGGATCATACAAAAATGTTACTGGAAGTATTTAAAGCAAAATAAAATAAACTAGAGGAAACTTGCATTTTTTTTATTCTTATACATTGCTTTACTTTTACTAATTTCCTTGGATATTTTTGCCGTGCCTGCATAAGAAGGGCAATTGAACACTCAATTTTAAAATTCAGCTTTGAGTTTAGTCATTGTGAATGCCCTGGCACCCACCCGCATCGTGACAGTATAACTTTGAATGCACTTGCTCCTTCAGACTCATTTAACAATTGTAAATACTAATTTCCTATGTATCTGGTTCAAACTGTGACACTATAGTACATGCATGACTGTATTGGCATCCAGGCTTCTGGGTACTGCTTTCATATTCCTTAGACAAAAACTGCAATAATTTTATTCTAAAATAACCATTGATTACTTCTAATCATCAGAATTACGTTAAAGGGCATATGTATTTTTATTATTTTCTAAAAAACTAAATAGCCTCAGAGGAAAGACCTCCAGAGCCTAGTTTTAGAGGTTATCAATGAAATAGTGTGTTATCCACATTTTTACTCTGGAGTGAAGCCTTATTATTTCAGTGAAGTGCTTCCAAAGATTTTAAGTACTTCACTCTTAAATATGAATGGATATGCTAGGTTCAACCAACTTTTAAAAGAAATATCCAAGATGAAAGAGAGAACCAAAATAAATTTAAGAATGAATGAATGATTAGAGTCAACTTAGGAAGCAGAAAAAAAATCATTTTAAAAACACATTATATGCATGGAAAAATAAAAAGATATTTTATACATAAAACAATGGGTTGTATGGAAAAACATAGAAAAGATAGCCTTTGAACATTAAAAATATGGCAACCTCAATAGAAAACTTTAATATGTATTTTGGAGCTACAAATGAGTAAATTTCCCAAGAAGTAGAACAAAATGATATAAAAAAGAAAAATATGAGAATTTTAGAATATCTCTACTGGAACTCAAATATCTAACTAACATAGGAACAGAAAGAAGATAAAACTGTTTTGATGTGCACATTGAGAGTGTCCACTAGAATATGCAGCACAATAAAAGAAAAGGAGCCACATCAAGAAACAATGCCATGAAATTTACTAGCCATGTATAAAGAGATCCCAATCTCCAAATATTTGTAAACCAAAAGTATCTGAGACAGGTCCCCATCAATTTAGAAAGTTTACTTTGCCAAGGTTACGGTCACACCCATAACACAACCTCAGGAGGTCCTGGAAACATGTGCCCAAGGTAGTTGGGGTACAGCTTGGTTTTATACATTTTAGAGAGACATGAGACATCAGTAAATACATGTAAGATGTAAATTGGTTTTGTCTGGAAGAGCAGGACAATTCAAAGCTAGGGCTTCTAGGTCATAGGTAGATTTAAAAATTTCTGATTGGCAAATTGTTGACAGAGTTATTATCAATAGGAAGGAAAGTCTAGGTTACAATAACAAGATGTAGAGACCAAGGTTTGTCATGCATATGAAGCGCCCGGTAGCCAGCTTCAGAGGAAATAGATTATAAATATTTCTTATCGGACTTAAAGAGTCTGTTCTATCAGTAATTCCAAAAGGGAGAAGGGTGTAATAAGGTATGTTCAGTTCCCCTTTCCCGTTGTGGCCTGAACTAGTTTTTTTGATTAACTTTGGAGTGCTCTTGCTTAGAGGAGAGTTCCATTCAGATGGTTAGGGGGTTTATAATTTTATTTTTTGCTTACATTCTCCTCCTTCTGACCAAGATTAGCCTGAGGCAACATCAATGACCACCAAACTTTTATTTTGTCCCATAGTATTTCCAGGATGGCATGGCTGCCTGCCCCAGTTTCATCCTGTCCTTTGCTGGGACCCTCTATGACCAACAGACTCAGAGACAAAAGACTTATAACCAGTTAAATATTCTTGACCAGGGAGAAACTGATGTAGACAGGTATTCATCACCCTTTAAAATTTGTAAAGTAATATAAAAGCCAACAAACAAAAAGCCAAATATTGGATGTGGACAGGCATTTATTACCCTTTAATATTCTTAAAGTAATATAAATGCCAACAAACAAAAGGGTATAGTACAGGTTACAAAATTCAGTTTATGTATCTTTAACTTCTATGTATAGAGCTACTGTAATCTTGGTTTTAATTACAGACTTATAACAATTAGCTATATAAAACGTAAGCATTGTTAAAACCATTTAAGCTAAGGAATTCAGGGACTTCTGTTGTGCTGCAATGCTTTTTGTGCTTTTTTGGTAATTTGTCCTATGGCGGCTGATCAATGAATTATATATATATATATCTGCATACATTGCATAACTAGGAGAATTATACCCACAAGGCTTTGTCACGAGGTATCTTTATTTCCTCTCAGTAATAATTTTCTTTTAATTCTGTAGGGAACAGAAAATTGTTTATGAATGGGTTGGATGAAATGGTGCCACGTATGTAATAACCCAGGTGGCCATGTCCCTTATTTTACCAGTTGTTTAGCACCTCCTTTATTTGGACGGTCTAATCTAATTATAAACCTCAAAACTGGCCATTAGAATCTCATATACCCACCTCTTCGCTGGGCCAAAATGGTGGGTGCTAGTATAGTTTCAGCAGCAGGGCATTTGCAGTGATAAACAGATCAGGCCCAGTGGGACTCCAAATGTGGGAAATATGCAGCCTTTGAAAAACCATCTCTAGTCTTCCTAATACTGTGATTCTGGTTTTCTCAGAAGTAAAATTACAATACATGAATAATATTAATAATTTGATAATTAAAAGATAATGTGTGTGCCAGAACATAAAAAGGAATCTATTCCATTAGGGTGCCAACTAAAAACATGAGGAAAATTATAGCCTATTGCTCTTTTTGATGATTATTGTAGCCAAGAAATAATTAATGATTTAATCTGAACTCAAAAATAAAAGTCAGAGCTTGAACTTAGTAATGGGCATTTTAGTTCTCTTTAAAACAATTTCTCTTTTTTCTAGCCTTCCCTTTCTATTAAACAGAGATTATAGTAAGACGAATTTGTGTGTAAAGTAAGTTTTAGGTTTATTATACTAGGCTTGATTATTCACATAAAGTGCATCAAGAATTGATTGGCTGTATAGATTCTTTTCAAGTTGGCTTTCTGTAACTTTACCTGAAAATATGTCATTCAAGTCAAAGCCTTGGTAAAATAATCAGTGTCTCCAATTGTGTCTTGTTTCAAAAGAAAAGATGCTTACTAAACTTAGGCAAATAGCTATATTACCATAAAATCAGAATATTCACAAATAGCTTTTAGATTTGGGATAATACAGATGGAGAGAAAGGTAAAATTTGCTCACTAAAACATACTTTATCTAATTGCTCTAAACTATAAGTAACTCAAAGGAAAAATATTTTCTTAATTATTCTTTAACAAGAACAGTAGATTCCAAACAGGATTTGTTTGCTTACTTTGGAACTGCCATTGAAAAGCCATGCAGTTCTTGTCAAATAAAAGCTGTTTATCAGGCACGGTAGAATCTAGCAATGTTAACAGCCACAAATCCATATAGGTCTACAGCAAAGTCAGTTCTTGCCTCCTCAACAGAAATAGTTCAACCAGGGGGCATAAGGCACAGGGATAGACTGTGGTGAGTTTTAGAGCAGGGATGAAAGTTTATTAAAAAGTTTTAGAGCAGAAACAAAAGGGAGTTAAAATACACTTAAAAGAGGGCCAATTGGGCAACTTGAGAGATTTAAGTGCATAGCTTGACCTTTGACTTAGGATTTTATATGTTGACATACTTCTATGGTCCGTTTTACTTCTTCCTTGAGTCTTGCCTTGGGGTGAGATGTCTGCTTGTACAGTGGCCTGCCAACACTTGGGATGGGCCACATGTGCAGTGTGTTTAATTAAGTTTTACACATGCTCATTTGAGATGTTTTTCCCTTAAGTCATGTGTTCCTATAGGTAGGTTATATATCAGCTAAACTCTGCCATTTTGCTCTTAGTATGCATGTTTGAGCCCACTCACCCAAATCCTGAAATATTATTGGAAAGCTGCTGATCACCAGCTTCAGGGTTCTTTTTTTTTTTTTCAATCTATTGGGTGACTGCCTTTTCCATGGTGCCAGCTGCAACTAATTGTTATTTAAGAGAGACAGTTTATCAACCACCTGACCGTCACCTATTGGTTGCCTGACATTCCTGGAGGTGTGTATTTGGGGTGAGAGGATCTCCTGTCCTGCTCATATCTGCCTAACAAATTACTGTAACATTTCCCCCCTCAAGAGTCCAATACCCCAATTCTTTGGGAAAAATTGATGAAACTCAGTATTCTATAACTGCTTCCTGCTGATGGGGATGTGGTGGTTGTTTTGTTGGTCTTGGCCTCTTGCTAGCTGTCAGGACAGGGTGGTTCCATGGGTTGGTGAAAGTTGTATCCAGCCAAGTCCAAGAGAGACAGGGGAAGGATTTTACTTCTGTTGTGTTCCACACATGGGCGTCTAGGTATCCTCTGCAAATGCAGAAAACTGGTGTGGGCACTTTAATGTTGAGGGACCAGCAGGGTCTCCCTTAGTCCATCCAACCTTTGAAAGTGTTGTGAAGATGTTTGTTTTAATCTTATCTATTTCAGGTTTATTTATTACATTTTACAATAGTCATCTTAGGATTTCCACCCTGATGGGATGAGTCCTTTGACTCCTTATTGCTCTAAAACCTATGAGGGCCAGCCAGTTTGATAAGGCTTCTCAAGTCATTGTTCACTTTACACTGTACCTTCTGATTTTAATAGTTACTTGATTTTGCCTATCCCCTACATTGACTATCTTCTTGGTAACAACAGATCTCAGAGTTACTTATTAGTTTTTTTGCTATTACAGATAATAACTAAGTAATTACATATTTTTCTTTTTCTTTATTAGTTTGCATTTCCTTATTCATTCAGTTAACCAACACCCTGGGAGTATGATCCATCTGTAAATTCCACTGGAAACTTTTACCATTAGTAACTGAACACAGCCTTGCTGCAGCTCTATACTGTGGGTGACTACATCATCACCCAAGAGTCAAAGGCTTCTCATTTCTCATTCTTTTATTTCTCATTATTCATTAGCTTTATTTACATATTTTTTCATTTACTTTAAAGCAACTCTTAAGTAACCTCTAAACTAGAAACATTATATTTTATTTTGCAAAAACTATATTATCATGTTTTTATAACTGTAGTGAAAACATTTTACTCTTCTACTATTTTGACTCATAGAAACCCAAATTCCTAGTGGGAAATCGAGGATCACTTAATTTAACAGAACAGGACTTTAAAATTTTAAATGACTGCAGTGAATTGAGATGAAATTTGCCAAATTAATCTTACCAAAGTTTACTAGTCATATGCACTAAGAAGCTTCTGAGCTAGCTTTTATTAGTCTGATAGGCACTTATTTTTTTCAAACCAATTGATTAGAGCTCTTTTATATAATTGGTACTAAAATGTTACTTCCACATGACATATGTAAATATACAGACATAACAAACACACAGACAGAGGCAGGTCCTATAAAAATTTTTATTTGCCGGTTTTCAGTAATTTTTTATTACTTTAGACCATTAACTTAAAAAACATTACAGGAGCCAACAAAAGTTGAAGGGGAAATTTGCCATCCTAGGCTTTAAAAGAGAAAAAAGAGCAGAAGCAGTAGGATTCAACTGAATAACTTCTGAGGTATCAATGTGAAGAATTTCAAAAAGAAAGAGATCATATAATTTAAAAATTAAAAACTTTTGGCCATGCATGGTGGCTCATGCCTATAATCCCAGCACTTTGGGAGGCCGAGGCAGATGGATCACGAGGTCAGGAGATCAAGACCATCATGGATAACATGGTGAAACCCTGCCTCTAATAAAAATACAAAAAATTAGCCAGATGTGGTGGCGGGCGCCTGTAGTCCCAGTTACTCAGGAGGCTGAGGCAGGAGAATGGCGTGGACCCTGGAGGTGGAGCTTGTAGTGAGCCAAGATTTTGCCACTGCACTCCAGCCTGGGGGACAGAGCGAGACTCCATCTCAAAAAAAAAAATTAAAAACTTTTTACAATTTTATTCAGTCAATATTATAAGAAAATTTTGTTCTAACCAATTCTTTAGTTTTGTATTAGTGTTTTTCTTTTCTTTTTTTTCTGAGACAAAGTCTTGCTCTGTCGCCCAGGCTGGAGTGCAGTGGCGTGATCTCGGCTCACTGCAACCTCCGCCTTCTGGGTTCAAGTGATTCTCCTGCCTCAGCCTCCTGAGTAGCTGGGATTACAGGCAGACACCACCACGCCCAGCTAATTTTGGTATTTTTAGTAGAGACGGGATTTCACAGTGTTGGTCAGGCTGCTCTCGAACTCTTGACCTCGTGATCCGCCTGCCTTGGCCTCCCAAAGTGCTGGGATTACAGGCGTGAGCCACTGCATTCAGCCTGTATTAGTGTTTTTCAAATATCAAATTATAATTTTTAGAAAGACTATTATAATATTCTATAATTATAATCAACTTAATCACAACATTTTTAGAATTTTTTACGAACTTTATTATTATTTGCACAGACCATTCATGACATGCTTGGACTTTCTGGCTTGTTCTTAACGTTCCTGTCTCTTAAACAAGCAGCCATTTTATTTTAGGTCCAAATTTACTGTGCATGGTTCTTTCTCATAACCATTTTTACCTCAAATATATCTTTATATCCATAAACATTTTTTACATCTCTTTTATTTTCTGGTTCCTTTTACCTTCTTTCATAAATAACCTCTGGATAACCTATGAATTAGAAAAAACACATTTTTTACAAAAAAGTTTTTCTGCAATTTATTAAACTGGAAATTACTCAGATATTTAATAAATACCTATTATTTAATTTTATATAACTTTAGATTTTAAATTATATGAAAATTATATTTCTAGGCAATTTATTTAGATTTATGTGATTAATTTAATATTATTTTATTTTTATTTTTTTATTTTTTGAGACAGAGGCTCACTCTGTCACCCAGACTTGAGTCCAGTGGCACGATCTCGGCTCACTGCAACCTCCACCTCCCAGGTCCAAGCAATTCTCCTGCCTCAGCCGCCCAAGTAGCTGGGATTACAGGTGCCCGCCACCATGCCTGGTTATATTTTTGTATTTTTAGTAGAGATGGGGTTTCACCATGTTGGCCAGACTGGTCTTGAATGCCTGACCTTGTGATCCACCCACCTCAGCCTCCCAAAGTGCTGGGATGATAGGCGTGAGCCACTGTGTCTGGCCTATGTTTATTATTTTTAATAGTTTACATTATTTGTGAAAACTGTGATAGTCATCAAAGTTATTTCACTTTTAGCCCTTTTAATAGCTTATGAATTTTACGTTTTCCCAAATAAAAATTTTATGGTTAACTATATGAGTATTATGCCAATATTATACCAATAACTCATGATTTAGATGTTTTTATTAAACAAACAATATTAAGTATCTTATTTATCAAAAATAACACAGAGATTATTCTGTTTTATGCTGAATTTATAGTTTTATAAGCTTATGACTAATTTTGACACCTCATAACTGTCAGAATTAAATAGAAAACCTCTTGATTCAAAAATTCTAAGAAAATATATGCTGACAATTCTTAAGACATTTCCAATATTATTTTACCAATATGTTTAATGCCAGCTTATTCATTAAAAATTGCATTTAAGTAATGTGAACTTGAAAGGCATTTTGGATTATTTACCTGTTTTATAAGTACTCCTTTATTATAACCCATTTGGGTACCTTGTGGCCACAACACATAACAAAATACATGTACGTACATATAAACACATCTGAACATGCATATACATGCACAGACAGATTCTAGAGCTTTTACATCAGAAATCTAGCATGAGTTGTCAATATAAACTCACCAGTTTACAAAAAAATGGATAGATACAAATGACGTTTTTTGTTTGTTTTTCACTTCAGCACTAGTAGAAAAGTAACAGCAAACGTAAAGTAGGCAGAAAATAAAACATAGAAATGAACACAGAACTTAGGAACTTTACCATTGCAAATCAACCTTTGGGCTCTGAGCTTCCCTTCATGTAATTTGCCCAGCAGTTTAAAATGTGCACAAGAACAGACCAAATGGGTAACCAGCTGGATTACTAGAAAACCTGGCATACTCTTTTATTTACACAAACACTTGCAAGTAAAGGCACCATAAAACCAAACAGGGTGCTTGAAAAAGGGTCTTTCTCTTTGTCTTTCCTCATTCTTAGATGATTTGTTTCCCCAGTTTTTTCTTAAAATGTGGAACTGAGCTTTGGCTTAGGGTTCTTAGTGTGGTGGATCGAAGTGTGCTAATTGTTAGTAGGACTCCACGGTGCCACCACTGAATTGTTTACACCCTCTTACATGTCTCAGCTTCTCTCTCTAGAGGTCTACCACCTATGAAAGGGTTCAAAACACTGATTAATCAGCTCTTATATGCCTTTCCTGGATGAGGCTTTTTAAACAAATTTTGTTGGGGAATCCCTATATAGCCACCATACAATTTAGGAAGTCAACCCCCAGACACTCCCAATCAGCATTTAGTCACCCAAGGGTGCCTTTTGGCTGGGAGGAGCAAAATGCTTGTTTGCTTTGGAGCTAAGGAGCTCAATATATGATTTATCTATGAGAATGACAGTTCACTTCCTTATGCAAATTCACAGACAAGCTGATTGAAATTAATTTGGGGAGATATGGCAATGGAGGAGACTCTTTGGAATGCACTACTAAACTATAATTTGGATCCTAAACATCTTCCTAGGAAGAAAATTAAAAATAATAATAAATGAATAAAAGCTAAGACCACTTCATGTAAACTTTCCTCAGCCCTCAGCCACTTCTAACATTGTAGCTCAGAATCTCTTTTTGGTTACCAATTTGTAAACCAAAGTACCTGAGGTAGGTCTCAATAAATTTAGAAAGTTTATTTTGCCAAGGTTAAGAACACACCCATGATATAGCCTCAGAAGTTCCCTACAACATGTATCCAGGGTGGTCAGGGTACAGCATGGTTTTACATATTTTAGAGAGACATGAGACATCATTCAATACATGTAAAATGTACGTTGCTTCAGTCTGGGAAGATGGGACCACTAGAAGGGAAGCTTCCAGGTAATAGGCAGATTTAAAGATTTTCTAATTGGCAATAAGTTGGAAGAATTATTATCAATATAAAGGAATGTCTGGGTTACAATAAGGGGTTGTGTAGACCAAGGTTTTGTCATGCACATGAAGTCTCCAGGTAGCAGTCTTCAGAGAGAATAAATTATAATTTTTTTGTCTGACTTAAAGAGTCTTCTCTATCAGTAATTCCAAAAAGGAGGAGGGTATAATTAGGAATGTCCATCGCCCTCTTTGTATCATGGACTTAACTAGTTTCTCAAGTTAACTTTGGAATACCCTTGCCAAGAGGAAGGGTCTGTATTGGTCAGCGTTCTCTAGAGGAACAGAACTAATAGGATATATATATATATATATATATATATATATATATATACACACACACACACACACACACAAAGGGGAGTTTATCAAGGAGTATTGACTCACATGATCACAAGGTGAAGTCTCATTGTGGGCCATCTGCAAGCTGAAGAACAAGGAAGTCAATCTGATTCCAAAACCTCAAAAGTACGGAAGCCAACAATGCAGTCTTCACTCTGGGAAGAGGAAGGCACAAGCTTCAGAATACAGGGAATGTTACAGAGGAAAAGTGAAATCCCACAATGACCATAGTGCAACAGGCCCAGAAACAACAGTATAGATTGATTTAGAAAGAAGAAGAGCAGAATAAATTATATCTCTTTGAAATAAAGTTTCAATTCATATTATATAATGTTTTGGTGGTTTGGAACACAATAGTAACAGAAATTTTACAGAATTGATTGATCATGTTTGAAAACAATGGAAACAACACAATCAGGGCAGCTATTAACCAAAGAAAATACAAAACCTTTTACAGGAAAAAGAATGTAAGAATTGTGAAATACTTGCCTCAGTAAACATTACATTTTTTAAAATTGTGATATCAGTATATTGGGAGCATAAATATTAGTGGGAGGAGACACTTGAGAATAATGTCTTTACCAAAGAAATGAGAAGTTAATAGAGGGTATTGAAAATTGATAAACCAAGAAATAGCAGTGTGTAGGTATTTAAATAAAAGCAAACATCAAGTGAAATAGCTATATTTGATGAAAATAATCAACTCCGGGAAAAAGAAACAAGCATTGCGTATAGGTGACATTGGATACTGATGTTTTTAGGTATAGGCCTTATAGTAGTATTTGATATCTTAATTTTATCTCTATAATATTTTGATTAAAATATTAATGAATGAATTAGAAAACTTGCTATTTGAAAGATAGAAAAAAACAATTTGAAAAAATACATAGGAGAAAAGACTCATCAATTCACATATGACCATAAATTGCTCTTCTAAGAACCAAGAAGTTATCTTTATAGCTAGTCTCCATCCCACGTGCTGCAACGATGAAAGTGTTTTTAGACCCTGAGGAAGAAGCCCATTTGTCTCTGCTTAAATACTGTCAGTAATATGACATTTTATCTTAGACTCACTTGTATGAGGGTTATTGATCTCTAATTGGAGCTGTGCCACTGTGAGAAAATTCCTATTATTTTAATGTCCAATGATTCCAGGATAATGGAAAAATAGCATCCTTCATTTGTCCTTAATGTATAAATGAGACATATAAATGTACCACAACCTCTTTAAAGGCTTTCAAGATTCTCATCTTTTCTCTCAACCGTCACCATCACTTTCTATTCTCCTTATTCCTGTTACGCCCAGAGAGTAAAACTAGAAAGTGTTCTATTTCTCCTTGACTATGTTTTATTTGCCCTATATCTCTACCCATTCATTAATAAGATTAATAAAGATATGTCGACAGCCCACTTTTCTAGAGAGGTCTACTCTGACCATACTATTTAATATTGTAAACTTCACTCTACTTAATATTATCTCCACTGTCTCTCCATACCTCTTACCCTGCTCCATATTTTTCCTAGCACTTAATGCTTTGATTATTTTATTTATTGAAACTCTCTAGACAATAGGACATGTTTTCTGTGACAGCAGGGATTTTGTCCATTTTGATTGCTAATGTAGTTTCAGTGCTTACAAAAAATACCTGTCATACATACAATCCTCAACAAATACTTTTGAATGAATAAGTGTCACATTGTTGGTTTTTTATACTGATGAGGAATGTTTATAGACAGAAGACAGAGAGTATTCTTGGTGACCTTAGGCAAACTTCTTAGCATGTCAAGGCCTCTATTAATCTGTAAAGTCTTCTATACAGTCAAACCACATTCATCTTGTGCTCCACCTGTTGGCAGCATATTAAATTTAGAAACATAAGACTAAGAGAAGGCTGAAGTGTCTGAGGCACATGATCTAATGAAGAAAACAAATATATTCAAAAATCATTACCACACAAAGTAATATATAATGGCTCAGAAAAGACCATAGTTAGTTGGCTGATAATATTTCTAAAATATATTTTTTGAAATATCCTCTGGTAGTATTTACAATTGTGTGGATCGAGAAAGGGAAGGAGGGGGAAAAGAAAGGAGAAAAAGAGAGAGAGCAATTAAGAGGTAAATTACTTTTGAGATTGGATTTTTAAACATTAATATGGCATGTTACATTTATAAAAAAAACCCCAAAGATGTCCCTGGGTAGGAAGAATAATGGTCCCCCAAATATTTCCAAGTCCTCAACTCTAGAACTTATAAATGTTATATTTTATGGGAAAAAATAAGATTACAGATGGAGTTAAGTCTGCTAATCAGTTGGCCTTAAAAAAGATTATCTGGAATTAACTGGGTAGGTACAACGTAATCACAAGGGTGCTTAAAAGTGAAAGAGAAAAGCAGAAAACAAGGTCCGAGTGGTACAATGTAAAAAAAAAAAAAAAAAAAAAACAAACTTGAGTTGTATCTGGCTTTGAAGATGGATGGAGGCCATGAGTAAAATAAATTGGGTAGCCTCTAGATGTTGGGAAGGGCAAGAAAATAGATTGTCTTCTAAAGATACCAGAAAGGAACATAGCCCTGTTGACACCTTAGTTTTAGCCCAGTGAGACTCATTTCAGACATCTGACTTGCAAAACTATAAAATCATAAATTTATGTTGTTTTAACCTACTAAGTGTATGGTAACTTGTTATAGTTAGAAATCAAAAACTAACATAATTTCTATCTTTTGTATTCAAAAGATAAACACTTAAGATAGATCCCTAAAAATTATGAAACCAATATTTTAGGTTCCCTGACATTTGTGGTATAGAAAGACATCAATGAACAATTTGTATTTGTTGTTCCTTTTCTTAAATGTCATTACACCATATGTATTAACACCTTTCAGTTAAGAGAATGATATTTTATATCTTCCTCACTGCTGACTTATTTGACAATGCTATTCTTAATGTGTTTATAATTTCTGAAGATATTAAAGTATAACCACATCCTGTTTATGTGGCACTGTAGAGAAATTGGCCTTCCAAATTAGTGGATTTTCTAAATAAACTCAATCACTTTTGGGTGGTGTGTGTGAGCATGCTTGTGTGATTAAATTATAATATTAAAATTTTTCTCACTTTTATACTTTTTGAAGCAGATAAATTAGTGTATGTAACAACATTTTTTATGAATATGAGTCATTATTCTGAACATAAATTATATGCCATGCTAAAATACTCCCACATGTTGTTATTTTCAGGCTCTATTAAAAGACATAGAGTAATTCATGTCTTTTCAAAATAGTTGTAACTAGTTAATATATTATTCTGAGCACATTTTCTAACAATTATTCTATCAGAAAAAGGTATAACAGAGTGGACGAGAAACAAGAACAAAGGCACTAAGATAATTAAATTGAGTGTAGCAGTAAATTGAACACGCAAGAATTATTGCATGAACAAAGTTAGTGACCATGAAAATGGAGAGCAAATGATTGATTTAAGACATGGAAAGAAAATATTGAAAAGAATTTGAAGCTTCATTGGGAGTAACAGAAAATGATACATTGAGGATAACTTATACAATTCATCTCTGAGTGATATTGTGGATGTTGGTAACCACCGTAATATGGAATATGAAAAGAGGAGCAAATTTTTATGAAAGTATGAAGGTTTCATAAAGGGATATTCTGAATTTGAGATGCCAGAGAGACAACCAAATAAAGATTCACTACAGAAGTTGGATATTTGGAGCTAAGTGTAATAAACAATATGTTTAGATTAACATGATAAATGATAAGGCATTGGTGTAGATTAAACTATAGTATAAGAAGAAGGCTAAGAATAAAGTTACAGGGCACAAAACATCTAATTTTGGGTTTAGAAGAGCTTAAGAGTTAAAATCTATAAATGATATGTATTATTCCATTTCCACACTGATATAAAGAACTACCTAAGACTGGCCAATTTACAAAGAAACCAGGCTTAATTGGCTCACAGTTCCATGGGCTTAACAGGAAGCCTAACTGGAAGGCCTCAGGAAACTTACTATCATGGTGGAAAGCAAAGGGGAAGCAGGCACATTCTCACATGGCAGAGCAGGTGAGAGAGAGAGCAAAGAGGGAAGTGCCAGACACTTTTAAACCATCTGATCTCATGAGAACTCACTCAATATCACAAGAACAGTCAGGGGGAATTCTGCCCCCATGATCCAGTCTCCTCCCATCTGATCCCTACTCTAATTTGATATGAGATTTGGGTGGGGACACAAACCTAAACCATATTATTCCATCTCAGCCTTTTCCAAATCCCATGTCCTTCTAGCATTGCAGAATACAATTATCCCTTCTTAACAGTCCCCCAGTCTTAACTCATTTCAGCATTGACTCAAAAGTCCACAGTCCAAAGTCTCATCTAAGACAAGGTAAGTCCCTTCCAACTATGAGCCTGTAAAATCAAAAACAAGTTAATTATGTCTGACACAATGTGAGTACAAGGATCTTGTAAATGCTTCCATTCCAAGATAGAGAAATCAACCAAAACAAAGAAGCTACAGGCTCCATGCAAGTTTGAAACTCAGCAGGGTAGTCATTAAATCTTAAAGTTTCAAGATGATATTCTTTGACTCCAGGTATCATATCCAGGCCATGATGATGCAAGAGGTGGGCTCCCAAGATGTTGGGCATCTCTGCCCCTTTGGCTCTGCAAGGTACAGTCCCCAAGGCTGCTTTCCTGAGCTGGCATTGAGTGTCTGCAGATTTTCCAGGTGAACAGTGCAAGCTGTTGGTGGATGTACCATTCTGGGTTCTGGAGGATGATGGCCCTATCCTCAGAGATCCACTAGGCAATGCCCCAAGTGGGGACTCTGTGTAGGGGCTCCCACCCCACATCTCCCTTCTGCACTGCCCTAGTAGAGGTTCTCTATGAGGGCCCTTTCTCTACAGCAGACTTCTGTCTGGACAGTCAGGTGTTTCCTTACATCTTCTGAAATCTAGGCAGACATTCCCAAGCCTCAACTCGACTTCTGCACACCCAAAGGCCCAACACCATGTGGAAGCCACCAATGCTTGGGGCTTGCACTCTCTGAAACAATGGTACAAACTGTATCTTGGCCCCTTTTAGCCACAGCTGGAGCTGGAGTGGTTGGGATGCAGGATACCATGTCCTGAGGCTGCATAGAGCAGCTGGGCCCTGGCCCTGGCTCACAAAATTATTTTTTCCTCCTAGGCCTCCATGCCTGTGATGGGACAACCTATCATGAAGGTCTCTGAAATTCCCTGGAGACATTCTTCCCCATTGTCTTGGCTATTCACATTCCACTCCTGTTTACTTATGCAAATTTCTGCAGCTGGCTTGAATTTCTCTCCACCAAATGTTTTTTTTTTCTTTTTTACCACATGGTCAGGCTGCAAATTTTCCAATCTTTTATGCTCTACTTTCCTTTTCAATATTAGTTCCAGTTTCAGACAATCTGTTTTTTCATACATACAAGCATACACCTTCAGAAATAGCCAGGTCACATCTTGAATGCTTTGCTGATTAGAAATCTCTTCCACACGATACCTTAAATCATCTCACTGAAGTTCAAAATTCCACAGATCTCTAGAGCAGGGGCAGATCTCTAGAGCCAGTCTCTTTGCTAAAGCATGGCAATTGTGACCTTTACTTCAGTTCCCAGTAAGTTTGTCATCACCATCTGAGACCACCTCAGCCCAGACATCATTGTTAATATTACTGTCACTATTCTGGTCAAAATCATTCAACAAGTTTCTAGGAAGTTCCAATTTTTCCCACATATTCCTGTCTTCTTCTTATCCCTCCAAATTGTTCCAACCTCTCCTGTTACCCAGTTCCAAAGTCACTTCCACATTTTCAGGTATCTTTAAAGCAGTACCCCACTTTTGGTACAATTTTTCTGTATCAGTCTGTTCTCATACTCCTATAAAGAACTACCTGAAACTGAGTAATTTATGAAGAAAATAGGTTTAATTGTCTCAGTTCTGTAGGCTTAATAGAAAGCATGACTGGGAGGCCTCAGAAAACTTATATTCATGGTAGAATGTAAAGGAGAAGCAAGCACATCTATCCATGGCAGAGCAAGAGAGAGAGAGAGTGAAGGGGGAAGTGCCACACACTTTTAAATCATTAAATCTCATGAGAACTCACGCATTATCACAAGAGCAGCAAGGGGGAAATCCACCCCCATGATTCAGTCACCTGTCACCAGGACCCTCCTCCAATTTGACATGAGATTTGCATGGGGACACAAATCCAAACGATGCCAGGGTCTGAGATTTTATTCTAGCTAACAAGCTAACAAAGTTAGCCAGTTTTATGAATGCTCTCAGAATCTGTGACACTTCTGATACAGAGACACAGAACTATATTGCTCATGACAATAGCTATAGCCAGAGCATGAGCATTGGCATCAGTTATCCCACCCCTAGTTCTCATATAGCCATATGACATTTGCCAGATGATACTTGCACATATAGTGGGTTCATTATAGGAGAACAATTGTGAGTTTAGGAGACCTCAGTATTGTACTATGACCCATAAGCATGTCCGTCTAATGCTCTTAAGGGAGAACATATATCTTCCAATGCTTTAAGAAAAGATACCCTTTGCTCCAAAGGGAAACACTATATCTTCAAAGGTTTTTACCACACATTTTTTGAAAGGTAGAATGGAACAAAGGCAGTAATTCCTGTACTCATAAGATAGACAGAAACATGTGATACCCATAGGACATAATCTCCCAACAAAGAGAAATACTATCAAGGAATGATCATCAAGATTGAAAAAAACAGGAGGGAAGAGAAATATGGAAAATGAAGTGGAAAGAGTCTTCTGAGAGTGAGTTAACAGCAGTAAATCTTGACAGAAATTTCAAGTAGAATGTGAATTATAAACAATCTATCTATTTTGCACCCAGAAGTAGAATTGTTAGATCATAGATTATTCATATGTTGAGCTTTAAAATATATTGCCAAATGACTTTCCAAAATGTATATAAACAATTTATACTCCTACCAGCATAAATGACAATTAGAGAAAATCTATACCTTTCCCAACATTTATCATTATTTTTATTTCTAGCCATTCTTTGTTGTTTGTAGTTATATGTCACTGTGGCTTTTATACACATTTTCATGATGACTAATGGAGTTGAGCACTTTTTGATAGGTTTATTGGTCATTTGAATAACCACTTTTAAAAGTCTCTATTTAAATGGTTTTTGTCCCTTTTTCTATCAGATTTTCCTCTGGCATTTTAAAGATTTTTATTAGTTCTGGAAATAAATTTTATATTGAATATATTTAATTATAATATAAACTACTACTCTATAAATTTTATATTTTAAGGGCATGTAAAAGGGAGAGAAACTCTTGATTTTAATGTATTACATCAATTGTTCCATTTTGGTTAACAGTTTATGTACTGTTTAAGTAATCTTTGCTGTCTCAAATGTATGAAGAAATACTTCTATATTTTTGTTTTAGAATACTTTTTATTTTAAATTTAGTTATATGATCTAGTTGGAATTTTTCTGTATGGTGAAATGTAGGAAAACATTTTGGTTTTATCTATATGAATATTTTTATAGTTTATCTTAATTCAAAGACATTGCTATATTATTTATATTTCAATTTGTCACACAAATATTTCAAATTTCTTATGTTCATATTCATGTTGTCTACAAATAATGAGCTTTATTTTTTCATAGTACACTGGATAAGATATCCAGTATAGGTTTGAATTGAAGAGAGAATAATGGGCATTTTTATCTCATTTTTAATCATGAGAGGGGAAATAGGGAAATGTCGTATTTTACTAATTAAATTTTATATTTGCTGTAGATTTTAAATATATACCATTTGTCAGATAAAAGAAATTCCTTATATTCCTTGCTTACCATAGTTTTTTTTTTTACATTGAATGATTGTGAAATTTTCTCAAATCCTTATTCTGCATTGCATCTATGAAGATGACTTACTACTTTATTATCTTAATGTGATAAAAGAAGGTAATTGTTGTTAAAATGTGGTCTGCCCTGCATGAGAAAATAATACCAACTTGTTAATGATGTGTTGTACCTTTAAAAAATCACTGGATTCTATTTGTTATTTTTTAGAATTATTGAATTTATGTTTATGAACGTGATTACCCCTAAGTTTCCCTTCCTGTTATTTGTTATTCACAAAATTACACTGACCCCATTACTCTCTATATCCAACCTCTCTCTCTTTCCTTCTCCCCTTTTTTGTTTCTCCAAGAAAGTTGTGTACAATTAGTGTCACATTTTATTAAAAGTTTGGAAAAATTCAGAAGTGAATACATCTGGCACCAAAGATATTTTGTGGGGAAACATTTATTTGCCAGTTTACTGACTTTAATAGATACAGTGCTATTTATATATTTTTATTTTATCTTGTGTCAATTCTGATAATTTGTGTTTTTCTAGGAATTATTCAATTTTATGCAAAATTTTATTTGTACTTTAAAATTTTTCATTATGCTATTTAAAAATCTTTATAAAATTTGTAAAATATCTTGTGATAGCACCTTTTTATCCCTGGTATTTCAAATTTGTGTCTTTAATTATTTATGTATTTTCATTTTGCTCAATTTGGTTAAATGTCTATCAAATGTTAATCTTTCAAAAAATCCACTTTTGGCTTTGTTAATAAACTAACTTCTATTGTTTATTTTGTATTTAATAAATACTCTTTTTATTTTCTAACTTCTACATTTTTGGTATACAATAAGATGTCCTTTTACTCACTTCTTGATATAAATATTTGGTTATTGATTTTTGACTTACCATCTTTTCTTATTTATAAATTTTTGAATATATATTTTCTTCTCTGCACAGACTTGCTGCATTCCACAAGTTTTGATATGCTGTATGATCATTAGTTTACAAATCAAAATGTTTTACTTTTCATTATGATTTCTAATTTGATAAATTTCTTTGATGTATTTTGCTAAATTTCTAAATAGTTGAACTTTTTTATTGCATTATTGATTTTTAGGCTTAATTCCACTGTAGCCATAAAATATACCTTGAATGATTTCAATACTTTAAAATTTCTTTAGATATTTTTAATAGCCTTACATGTGGTCAGTTTGGGTAGAAGTATAACGTACATTTGAAAACATCTGTTATTAAACAGTTATTTACAACTATTTCAATTTGCAAATTGGGTCACTTTTGTAAATTCTGTTAATTGAATCATCTGGAGATGAAATGTTTTTATTATTTTCTTGTTCTATCAGTTACTGAGTGTGATGTTTTAAAATTTCCCACCGTGATGATGGATTTATCTACTTTCATTTTTATTCTATAAAATATGGCTGTATATTTGGAAACTCTGTTATTTGGGGGATACATGTTAAAACTGTTACATTTTTTCCAGTGGATTGACCCTCTTGATTGAATGGCAAATTAAAAAATAATAGCAATATAAGCAAAGATGTAAAGCAACTGAAACTCTAATGTATGAACAGTGGATGTATGCATTTACATAACCACTTTGGAAAACTGTTCATCATTATCTACCAAATTAAAATGCATGCATAGCCAATGACCATTCTATCTTATTTTTAGGTATATACCCCAAAAAGATTTATGATTATACAAACTAATATATATGTTAAAGAACATTCATTGCAAAACTATGCAGCTCAAACTATAAACATTCCAAACGTCCAACAGTAAAATTTATACATAAATTTTGGTATATTTATTTCATGGAAAAATATACAGAAAGTATAATAAATAATTACATGTAACAATATAAATGAATGAAAAGGACATAAATGAATGAAAAGAATTGTGATCAATTCTTTTGATCACAATGATCAAAAGAAGCTAGACACAAATAATACATACTTATATTTCCATTGATATAAAGCTCAAAAGCTTTTAAAAAAGACAAAACTATGCTATAATTTTAGAAGCCAGTATACTAGCTACCTTTGTAGAAGAGGGAAGATATTTTGGTTCTGAAGAAAGCTGAAGGGCTATTTTGGATGTTGGTAGCAACCTATTTTTTTTATGTTTATTACATAGATGTGCTTTACTGTGATAATTCATTGATGTGATATTTTTATGAATTTTTCTATGTGTATGCTATACTTTAACAAATTGCTAAAAATGCATTTTAAGAATGCTAGTTATATTTCTAGTGCAATTTATTTACCGTGAAGAAAATGTCTGAGATATATGACATATGATCTTCCTCAGAAAAAAATGTTTTAACAACAAACACCAATTTCATTTTGTCTTCTCTTTCCCATGTGCATGATGTATTCCCTTGCTAAACTTATTCAAGACTTTCCTGCTGCTATTGAAATAAAGACAGATATATTTAACTTGGCCTTTAAATTCTTGTATGATTTTAACCCTGTTTGTCATTTCAGCCTCATTTTATGTTATCTTCAATCTTCATCCAAAGCCCCATGTGACCTGAGATTGGACCTGTTGTTGCTCAACATTGGATAACTATAATTTCCCGTATATGGTAGGTAGTGTGTAATATAAAGATTAACTGAATAAATAATTCAACAAACTGACACAGAAAATAACTAGAAAAAATAATAAATTATTAATTATTTCTAGTTTATTCTTGCTTTCAGAGAAAGGAAATATTGATATAATGAAGAAATTCAGTTCATAGCTTGTATAAACATTAATGTTAAGAAACCAAATTTAAACCAAAAATAAAATTTTAAGCCCCCCAGCCAAGCATCTAAATGGACCACATCTTTTGGCCAAGAGCATTCCAAAATTAACGAGAAACACTAGCTCAGACCATGATGGGAAAGAACCAAGGATACCTCATTATACCCTCCTCCCTTTTGGAATTACTAATAGAATAAACTCTTTAAGTCTGATAAGAAACATTTACGGCCGGGCGCGGTGGCTCACGCCTGTAATCCCAGCACTTTGGGAGGCCGAGGCGGGTGGATCATGAGGTCAGGAGATCGAGACCATCCTGGCTAACAAGGTGAAACCCCGTCTCTACTAAAAATACAAACAATTAGCCGGGCGCGGTGGCGGGCGCCTGTAGTCCCAGCTACTCGGGAGGCTGAGGCAGGAGAATGGCGTGAACCCGGGAAGCGGAGCTTGCAGTGAGCCGAGATTGCGCCACTGCAGTCCGCAGTCCGGCCTGGGTGACAGAGCGAGGCTCCGTCTCAAAAAAAAAAAAAAAAAAGAAAAGAAACATTTACAATCTATTCTGTCTGAAACCTGCTACCTAGAGGCTTCATGTGCATGATAAATCCTTGGTCTCCACAACCTGTTTTTTGTAACCTGGACATTTCTTTCTATTGACAATAACTCTTTCAATCAATTGTCAATCAGAAAATCTTTAAATCTACCTATGACCTGGAAGTCCCCAATTCGAGCCATCCCACCTTTCTGGACCAAACCAATGTACATTTTACATGTATTGATTAATGCCTTATGTCTCCCTGAAATGTATAAAATCAAGTTGTACCCTGACCAATTGGCCACATAATCTCAGGATCTCCTGAGGGCTGTGTCACAGTCCATTTGTCCCTTATATTGGACTCAGAATAAATCTCTTCAAATATTTTACAGTTTGACTATTTTTGTACACACAAACAAAAAATAGGCTAAATCTTAATATATCTTCTTGTCTATGCTCAGGCAGTTTATATCTAAACACCTTAAATGAATAGGTTACTGGTATTTTAAGATTTAAAAGAAAAGTACAAGATTTTTATTTCATATGACACAAATAAAATACCATTTTCACTCATCTAACATGTGGATTGACAGATTGCAGATATCATCCATTACCTGAATATTACAGATACTAAATTTGGAAAATAAGGGCTCAACCTAGTCATTTCTCAGAAAATTTCTTCCCAATACTGGTGAGTTATGAAATCTGTTATGTTTCAACTCTTAGGGTTATTATTTTCTAATAGTGCATCTATGTTCTAGAAAGGCAGTGTTATGCAATACAAAAGAAGCAATCTTTAATGTAGAAGACTGATTACGTTTAAGTCACATATCTGCCACCATAAAATCACAATCAAGTCACTTAACTTTTCTGTATACTTTTTCTGTATTTTTTCTGTAACATTGTTTGGTAGGAAAATCAGGGGTCATTATAACTCTGCCAACTGCATAGAATTAATTTGAGGGAATCAACTGTAGTAATAAATGTGCTTTGAAAATTATATATTGGTATAAATTTAAAATATAACTAAATAATAGTCTCATTATAAGTAAGAACTACATAAAACAAATAAGATTCATCTTTGTTGAGGCTTATATCCTCTATTTGCTTAATATACATTATTTCATTTAATACACGGCAATAGTTTTAAGCATTAATTATTTAACATTACCAACTTATAGATCAAGGAGCAAATTCATGTACAGGTTAAATCATTTTTCTAGGGTTACATAGTGGTGTAGCTGGTCTTTCTTGTGCCATACTTCATGCTTCATCAATAGTATCATAGAAAATCATGTTGTCTCCCAGAAAGTATAATACAGCCCATTGAAAAAAATCTCACATAATTGTAAACATTTTTAGTCATTTTATCCAATATTTTGAGCAACAACCCAAATACAAATCATTTTACTATAATGTGAATGAGGTATGCCATTTCACAATTTTAAGTATAGGAAATTGTTTATCCTATAAACCAAAAAGCAACTGAGACAATTTAGAAGTTTATTTCACCAAAGTCAAGGACAATGCCAAGGAGAAAAAAATAAAATAAAATAACAGAAACAGCCTATGATCTGTGTCTTTCTTCAGAGATTACTTTGAGAAATTCAATATTTATAGGGAAAAGCGGGCTGGAGGGAATAGAGGAAGGGTTTGGTAATCCACATGTTGCAATAGAAAAGAAGCAGGTAGGGGAATAGCCAATTGTGTACTTGTCTCATGCTCGGTAAATCAAATTTGCACTTTATATAACATAATGTGAATATAGAATAGCCACCTGTGGAGATATTTAACCTTTTATCTGTAGATATCTGTTTAGGAACAAAAGGAAAGGCCAGTTCTTACATGACTTTTCTTACAGCTTTTTTTCTCTTGTCATAGTTAATTGGGGTCTCGGTTTTTTATTTTCCTTTCACAATCTTAAAGTCAATTGCTCTCGAACATGTGAAATAACATTTTTCTTCAAAAGTCTAATTCCTGGATAAATGTACTTCTAGGAGGGCCAAGAAGTATTGCGGTCATGCATCACTGTATTTCTTCCTATGTTACCTAAGCCAAGATTGCCGTGGTTACCTAGGGCACCCAGTGCATGTTTAACAATGCAGGAATAGGTGGTGGTACAAAATAGAATTCCACTAACTGGCCAAAACAAATAGCCAATATTATTTTTTTTAAGGGCACACTTTCTTTTCATTTGGTAACATGTCATTAAAAAAATACTAGTCCCCAGCCAGGCGCGGTGGCTCACGCCTGTAACCCCAGCACTTTGGGAGGCCGAGGCGGGCAGATCACGAGGTCAGGAGATCGAGACCATCCTGGCTAACACGGTGAAACCCCATCTCTACTAAAAATACAAAAAAATTATCCAGGCGTGGTGGTGGGTGCCTGTAGTCCCAGCTACTCGGGAAGCTGAGTCAGGAGAATGGCGTGAACCCAGGAGGCAGAGCTTGCAGTGAGCCGAGATAGCACCACTGCACTCCAGCCTGGGCGACAGAGCGAGAGTTTATCTCAAAAAAAAACAAAAAACAAAAAAAACCAAACTAGTCCCCAGTGTTTTTTCATACTATCTGATCTTATGCCATTAACAGAAATGCTGGTAGCCCTGCTATTTTTTCATATATTTATAGATAGTATTTCACCTGAACTTATATTTTATCTAGCTGTCACCAAATTTCTCAGAGTGTATGCAATACTAATCTTTTTAGTAATAAAATTTTATTTATAAATAATGCATTGTTAATATTCAAAAAAAACTGTAGGATCTACAGGTACAGCTGAGCAGAGATCTAGCTTCTATATTATTACAAATAATAACAGATAGCCAGTGCTTTTAAGCGGTGTGTGGTAGAGGGAGGTGTAATGCATATATGATCATTTTGGGTTCCAGTTCTTTCTTTTTCTTGAAGAATTGGTCCACTTGTTTTGTTCTGATAATTGCTGTGGGAGTTTGGGTAACTTTAGGCACATGGAATGTTTGAGATGTGAAAGCCAAGGGGAATTAAAGGATGATTGTTAGTTAATGGCAATGCAAATGATGCATGACTCATCCAGTTAAAGCTCAGTTGAACTCATCTCTCTTACATTAAGCACATGTATTATTTCCTGATTTTTTAAAATCAAAAAGTGCACATTTCACATAGAAGTTCTAGAAAAATTATTTGGAAGTGATTGGTAAATATGCATTTTAATCAGACAAACAAAGCATAGTTTCTGGGCCATCTGCCATAAATATTTTTGTATTTTAATTTTATATTGCTAACTACAAAATGTTTACTAAAATCTTACCTGTAATATTCAGTTAGTTAAAATAAAAGTACATATTGATTTTATTTTTAAACTCTATCTTTGGAGACACAGTCCTAAGTTGATTAATTAGTTGCATGACTGACAAACTCAGAAATATTATAATAAATGCCATTCTATAAATAAGGCTTCAAGTTGTTGTTAGGTTTTAGTGATTTGGTCCAAAAGGAGCAAAAGCCCTGCTAGTCTTTTTCATTAAAAAAAATATATATTTTGCAATGTTTGATGCATTTATTAAATGGTAAAATTATTATCTATAAAGATGGCTCCTTATATGGTTTTTAAATCCTGTACAATTGAAAAATAACCTTTGAAGTACTTAATTTCAATTTAGATATTAAATTAAAAACAACAGTTTATTATCAGTGTAATACTTTCTGAAAGTATTCAAACTGCGAAAGTTATTTTGTGTTCAGGAATTGTGCCATTCTTCTTTTAAAATACCACCTAAATCTACGGACATCAAGATAAAATGTTAAAAATCCAAAATATCTTACCTGATGATAAATGTTCTCTAATATAAATAAAATTACATTTTTTCCTGAAATAATATATAGAATTTTCAAACCAAATAAAAAATTTGTTATAACTTTTCTAATAATGTTTATTTTTAATTTCTTCAAAACTAGATTTATAGTGCATATTTCTTGATGCTATTTTTCCATGTAATCTATTTCAATTTTCTATTTATTATTATTATTTTATTAATATTTAACTATTGGTATTGTTTTAGAGTAATCTATGAAAAGTTTAGAATGACCATCAATATTTAAAGCATTCAAATCTCAGTACCACGAGTCACAAGCCATCTTAACGGGGAAATTAACTACGATCATTCAGCTTTCCTAAATTACTATTGGCACTCATATAATAAATATTTAAAGTTTATGTATAAAATTTTAGTGTCTAAAGAGACCTTAGCCATCATCTCTATAGTTTTTCCTCTAGATAAGGATAGAGATTGTATGCTATTCAACTTGGCTTCTTTTCACATGTATCTTTGAATGACTAACAATACATACAAAACACTCAATAAACATTTGATAAATTAGCTAGGGCACAATGCTTAAATAATTTAGTTAGCTTTTCCAAAGTCACACAAATACTTAATGTCTGTATTAATTTTCTATTGCTGACATAAAATAAATGTACCAGCTTAAAACAAGAGAAATATATTATCTCACAGCTTCTTTAGATCAGAAGTCTGGGTGTACTAAACTAGGACATCTGCATAGGATCTCAGGAGGCTGAAATCATGTTTGTAGTGCTGTGTTCTTCCCAGAGAATCTGGAGGAAAATATACTTTTGAGCTCATGTTGTCTGCTGGACGAATACAGTTCCTTGGGAATTATATGCCTAAAGCCCCATTTCCTTGTTGGTTATCAGATGGGATCAATCTGTGCTTCAAAAGGCTCTTACATTTCTTCTCATGCTTTCCATAGGGCTCCCTCCAGCAATGGTGACTCAGGTTCTTCACATGCTTTTAAACTTTCTGGCTTCTCTTTCTGCTGTATCTCAGACTCAAAAAAAAAAAATTCCTTGTTTTTGGATAACCAGGATAATTTCTCTACATTAATTACATCTGCAAATTATCTGTTCCATGTAGTATAAAACATTTACATATTCCAAAAATGAGGACACTAACATCATTGCAGGGGTATTCTACTTACCACAATGTCAAAGTCTTGCATATAATTCAGTACCTTTCTTGCTGTCTTTCTACAAAAATTTGGCTGTAATTCCTTTAAAAAAAGAAATATGAACGGGACAGGACAATAATCTGTGATCAAGAAACTCATCTGTAATTTGCACTTCAGGATTTTCTGTATTATTCTTGCAACTTCTGATGAATTCATAGTTATTTTCAAATACAAACTGCAAAAAGAAATACAAAGCACAAGGGAAATATATATTTTTAGAATATGACTTTCTATAATACATGTTGTATTGATATAAGAAATGTGACCATTAAGGTAGAGTGATTATAAGTAGATATATTAAATAGTTGTTATATAAGTGGGAAAATATTCTAAAATCTTGAAATTCAAGAGACTACTTGTAACAAGAGAGCATAAGCTTTACCTAATCAGAAAGAAACTTATGACTGGCTGGGCATCGTGGCTCACACCTCTAATTTTAGCACTTTGGGAGGCTGAGGTGGGTTGATCACTTGAGGCCAGGAGTTCAAGACCAGCCTACCCAACATGGCGAAACCTCGTCTCTACTAAAAACAAAAAAAGTAGCCAGGTGTGGTGGCATGTGCTTGTAGTCCCAGTTACTCAGGAGGCTGAGGCACAAGAATCACTTGAACCTGGGAGGCGGAGTTTGCAGTGAGCTGAGATCTGCCACTGCACTCCAGCCTGGGTGACACTGCAAGACTCTGGCTAAAAAAAAAATAATAAGAAGAAGAAAAAACATACTTATGATACTAACACCAAATCTAGATTAGAAAGCAACTGAAGTGCAATTGTTCAGACCAAACACTGACATTATTCTGTGGTTAACTTATTTACTATGATGTTGTGGCTGCAGATATTGGAAGCCCAAAGCACTATTTGCATGTATTTAAACAAGTAGAATAGAAAAAATCATAAAGACCACAAATATGTAGAAGGGAATCTGATGATTGAAAAAACCCTAATTCCTTCTCATTAGAGTATAATGTTTGGCTAAAGAAAAAAATCAGAAAAATTGCAGGAATATTGTCTCAATCTAAACAATAGGTTGTTGGAAAAAAAAGATATAGTTTATATTTATAAAACATAATATAACTATAATGTAAATAAAATGGACAAATTACTAGAAACACACAACCTACCAAAACTGAATCATGAACAAACAGAAAATTTGAACATATCTATAAGTAGAAAATATATTGAATCATAACCAATACTCTGCCCAAAAGAAAAACTCAGCAACATATGATTTCACTGGTGTACTGATCCATTCTCTCACTACTATGAAGTACTACCTGAGACTGAGTAATTTTTAAAGAAAAGAGGTTTAATAGGCTCAGGGTTCTGTGGGCTGTATAGATTTTTGCTCCTGGGAAGGCCTCAAGAAACTTACAATCATGATGGAAGGTGAAAAGGACACAGACACATCTTCACATAGCTGGCAGAAGAGAGAGCCAGCAAAGGGGGTAGGTGTTACCCACGTTCAAACAACCAGATCTTGTGAGAATTCTATCATGAGACAGCACTAGGAGGATGGTGCTAAACCATTAGAAACCACCCCCATGGTCCAATCACCTCCCACCAGGCCTTACCTCCAACACTGGAGAACACAATTTAACATAAGATTTGGGTGAGGACACAGAGCCATACCATATAATTCTACCCTTGATCCCTCCCAAATCTCATGTTCTCACATTGCAGAATACAATTATCCCTTCTGAACAGTCCCCCAGTCTTAACTCATTTCAGCATTGACTCAAAAGTCCACAGTCCAAAATCTCATCTGAGACAAGGTAATTCCCTTCCACCTATGAACCTGTAAAATCTAAAACAAGCTATTTACTTCCAAGATACAATGTGGTTACAGGCATTGGGTAAATACACCCATTCCATGAGGAAGAAATCAGCCAAAACAAAGGGCTACAGGCCCCATGAAGTCTGAAACCCAGCAGGACAGTCATTAAATCTTAAAGCTTCAAAATAATTTTCTTTTACTCCATGTCTCACATCAAGGCCACACTGATGCAAGGGTTGGGCCCCCTGGCCTTGGGTAGCTCCACCCCTGTTGCTCTGCAGGGTACAGTCCCCAGGGCTGATTTCACAGACTGCATTGAGTGCCTGCAGCTTTTCCAGGTGCATGGTGCAAGCTGTTGGTGGATGTACCATTCTGGGGTCTGGATGATGGTGGCCTTATCCTTACTAGGTAGTGCCCCAGTGGGGACCCCGTGTGGGAACTTCACATTCACATTTCCCCTCTGCACTGACCTAGTAGAGGTTCTTCTCCATGTAGGCTCTGCCTCTGCAGCAGATTTCTGCCTGGACATCCAGGCATTTCCATACATTCTCTGAAATCTAGGCAGAGGCCCCCAAGCCTCAGCTCTTGCCCTCTTTCCACCCACAGGCTTAACACCACATGGAAATCTTGGCAGCTTCTGGCTTGTACCCTCTGGAGTAGCAGCCTGAGATGTATTTGGGACCCTTTTAGCCACAGCTAGAGTTTAAGTGGCTGGGACACAGGCAGCCTTATCCCAATGCTGCACAGAGCAGTGGAGCCCTGGGCCTGGCCCATGAAACCATTTTTCCCTCCTAAGCCTCCAGGCCTGTGATGGAAGGGGATGCTGTGAAGATCTCTGAAATAAATTGGAGGGATTTTCCCCATTGTGTTTGTTATTAACATTTGGCTCTTCTTTATTTAAGCAAGTTTTTGCAACGGGCTTCATTTTCTCCCCGAAAATGTTTTTTCTTTTCTTTTCTTTTCTTTTCTACCACATGGCCAGGCTGCAAATTTTTCAAAATTTTATGTTCTTCCCTTTTAAATGTAAGTTCCAGTTTCAGGTATTTTTTTGTTTATTTAGGCAAATGAGCATAGGATTTTAGAAACAGCTAGGCCACATCTTAAATGCTTTGCTGCTTAGAAATGTATTCTGCCAGCTATTCTAAATTATCTCCCTCAAGTTCAAAGTTCCACAGATCTCTAGAGCAGGGGCACAATGACACCAGACTCTTTGCTAAAGCATAGCAAGTGTGACCTTTACCCCAGTTTGCAGTGAGTTCCTCATCTTCATCTGAGACCTTCTCAGCCTGGACTTCAGCATTTTGGTCAAAACCATTCAACAAGTCTCAAAAAAGTTCTGAACTTTCTCTCATCTTCCTGTCTTTTTTTTTCTGAGCCCTCCAAACGACTCCAACCTCTGCCCATTACCCAGTTTAATGGTCATTTCCACATTTTCAGGTATCTTTAGAGCAAAGCCCCACTTCTCTGATGATACCAATTTTCTGTAGTAGTTCTTTTTCACATTGTTATAACGAACTATCTGAGAGTGAGTCATTTATAAAGAAAAGAGGTTTAATCTGCTCATGGTTTTATGGGATATACAGACTTCTGCTTCTGGTAAGGCCTCAGGAAACTTACAATCATGGCAGAAGGTGAAGGGGAAGCAGGCACATATTCATAAGTCCGGCAGAAGAGATAGAGAGCAAAGTGGGGAGGTGCTACACACTTTTCTTTCTTTTCTTTTTTTTTTTCCTTTCTTTTTTTTTTTTTTTTTTTTGAGACAAAGTCTCACTCTGTCGCCCAGGCTGGAATGCAGTGGCATGATCTTGGCTCACTGCAAGCTCTGCCTCTCTCCTGCCTCAGCCTCCTGAGTAGCTGGGACTACAGGTGCCTGCCACTATGCCCGACTAATTTTTTGGTATTTTTAGTAGAGATGGGGTTTTACCGTGTTAGCCAGGATGGTCTCAATCTCCTGAACTTGTGATCTGCCCGCCTCAGCCTCTCAAAGTGCTTGGATTATGGGCATGAGTCACTGCACCCAGCCAGGTGCTACACACTTTTCAAACCACTAGATCTTGTGAGAACTCTATCATGAGACAGGATTAGTGGGTTGTGCTAAATCATTGGAAACCATCCCCAGGAACCAATTATCTTCCACCAGGCCCCACCTCCAATACTGGAAATCACAATTCAACATGAGATTTGGGTGGGGACACAGAACCAAACCATTATCAACTGGCGGATTATACCAAACATTTAAAGAAGAAATAACACCAACGTTTCTGAAACTTAAAAAAAAAAATGAAGTGGAGAGAACACTCCTTAACTAATTCTATGAGGCCAGTTACTCTGATACCAAAACTAGACAACAAAAGTACAAGTAAAGCAAGGTACAGCCAAATATTCCTGATTAATAGTGATGCAAACATTGTCAACAAAATACTAGCAAAGAGAATTTGAGTATTTTAAAAGGATTATACACCATCAAAAATGTGGTTTTTATTCTGGAATGTAAGGAAAATTCACCCTATAAAAATCAATCAGGGTATTCCCAAGATAGCTGACTAGAAGCAGCTAGGGTGTGTGGCTTTCATGGAGAGAAATGGAAGGGGTGAGCAAATACGGTACCTTCAGCTGAAACATCCAGATGCTTACATTGGAACTACTCAAGGAAACAACTCGACCCCTGAAGAATAGAGAATAGTAAGGCAGTTTGATGGCCCGTCTGGGAACAACACAGTGCAAAGGGAACCTCCCCTACCCAGGGAAGTGGTGAGTGAATGTGCAACTTCGGAAAACCACACTCATCTCACAGATCTTTCCAACCATCAGGTTAAGAGATCCCCTGGTGAACCCACTTCAACAAGGCCTTCAGGCTGACACACAGAGCTACTTGGAGCCTTGGCAAAGCTGCCACTCAGGCGCATATGGAGACATGGAAGCTTTGGATATTCTAGATTTCTGGGCTTCCCAGTAGAAGTAACTGTCACTCTGACAAAGTGGGTGGTTAGAGCCCCATATATACCTCTAGGAAAGAGGCTGGAGCCAGGGTCCCAATCAGTGAAGGTCTGCAGGCCCCACTTCCACTGTGACTCACAGGATAAGGCCCACTGGCTTGGTTTGATAGCCAGCCACCAGTAGCAATATTGTGCCTATCTTAGACAGAGTTCATGGTGGGGAGGAGTAGGCTGCCAGCTTTGCTGTTGGGGTAACTTGGACATTCCAGCCTGTGAGCTTTGGAGAGCCCAAGCCAACTGAGGCAGAAGAGGTACCCCAGCACAGCAGAGCTGCTCTACAAAAGCATGAATATATTGCTTCTTTAAGTGTGTTCTCAATCTTGTTCCTCCTCACTAAGGTGGAACCTCCCAACCAGAGCCTTGAGCCACACCCACCAGTGTTCTCCAGCTGAAGGGATTTGAAAACTTGCTGGGACAAAACTTCCAGAAGGAGGTGCAGGTTGCCATCTTTGCTGTTTGGATGACTCAGCAGTTCTGGCTTTCCAGCCTTGGAGAGTCCAAGCCTACTGGGGGTGGAAATGGTACCTCAACACAGCACAGTGGCCCCACAAAAACATGGCCATACTGCTTTTTAAGCAGGTCCCTGACCCCATTCCTCATCACTGAGTGGAGCCCCTGAACTAGGATCTGTGGCTACCCTCACCAGTGTTCTCTGGCTGACAGAAGATTTGGGCCTCCTTGGGATGCAGCTATGAAGAGGAGAGACAGGCCACCATCTTGGCTGTTTGGATGACTTATCCATTCTAGCCTTTGGGTTTCAGAGTGTCTGAGGCTGCCAGAGGTGGACATGAACCCCCAGAAGAGCACAGCTGCTCTACAAAAACATGATCAGACAACTTTTTTAATGAGGCCCATGATCTCATTCCTCCTGCCTGGGTGAGACCTCCCAAATGGGTTCTTCAGCCGTTTCCTACAGGTGCGTTTGGGCCAGCAACAGGTCTGTACCTCCCTGGGACAGAGCTCCCAAAAAAAGGAGAAAACTGCCACATTTGCTGTTTTCTAGCTTTCACTGGTGTTACCTCCAGGTACTGGAAAAACTGGGACCCCAAGCATACCGCAGCAGCCTTATGGAAAGGTAGGCAGAATGTTATATATTTAAAAGAAGCAGCAACCTCAAAGATTGAAGGTAGATAAGCCCTAAATATGAGAAAGAATCAGTGCAAGATTGCTGAAAACTCAGAAAGCCAGTGTTCCTTTTACTGTAAATGACTGCATCACCTCTATAGCAAAGATTCGAAACCAGGCTGAGGCTGAGAAGGCTGAAATGACAGAAATAGAATTCAGAATATATATAGGAATGAAGTTTACTGAGCTAAAGGAGTATGTTGTAACCCAATGCAAAGAAGTTAAGAATCATGATAAAACAATACAGGAGCTGACAGAGAAAACAGCCAGTATAGAAGAGAATATAACCAACCCGATAGAGATGAACAACACACTACAAATAGTTCATAATGCAATCACAAGTATTAATAGAAGAATAGACCAAGTGGAGGAAAGAATCTTGTAGCTTGAAAATTGTCTTTCTGACACAAGACAGGAAGACAAGAATAGAGAAAAAAAGAATAAAAAGGAATGAACAAAATCTTCGAGAAACATGGAATTATGTAAAGAGACCAAATCTATGATCGTTTGGTGCACCTGAAAGAGACTAGAAGAATGGAAACAACTTGGAAAACATTTTTCATGACGTATCCATGAAAAATTCCCTAACCTAGCTAGAGAGGCCAACATTCAACTTTAGGAAATGCAGATAACCCCAGTAAGACACTCTATGAGAAGATCATCCCCAAGACAAATAGTCATCAGACTCTCCAAGTGTCAAATGAAATTAAAAAAATCTTAAAGACAGCTAGAGAGAAAGGACAGATTACCTACAAAGTAAAGGCCCATCAGACTAACAGCCGACCTCTCAGAAGAAACTTTACAAGCCAGAAGAGATTAGGGGCCAATATTCAACATTTTTAAGAAAAGAAATTCCAGCCCAGAATTTCATATCCAGCCAAACTAATCTTCATATGCAAAGAAGAAATAAGGTCCTTCACAGAGAAGCAAATGCTGAGAAAATATGTTACTCTCAGACTTGCAACAAAGCACTAAATATGGAAGGGAAAGAATATTACCAAGAACTACAAAAAACACACTGAACTACACAGACCAGTGACACTATAAAGCAACCATATAAAGAAGTCTGCAAAATAATCAGCTAACATCATGATGAAATAATTAACAAAGAAACTACTAGGTAGACTGATAAATAGGAAAAGATATAGGATTCAAATAAACACAGTCAGAAATGACAAGGGGGATATTATCACTCACCCCAGAGCAATGCAAGCAACCATCGGAGAATATTATGAACATCTCTGTGCACACAAACTAGAAAATCTAGAATAAATGGATAAAGTAATGGAAACTTACACCCTCCAGAAATGAACCAGGGAGAATTTGAATCTCTGAACAGACCAATATGAGCTCTGAAATTGAGTCAGTAATAAATAGCCTATAAACCAAAAAGAGCCCAGAACCAGGTGAATTCACAGCTGATTTCTACCAGATGTACAAAGAAGAGTTGACACTATTCCTACAGAAGCTATTCCATGAAATTGAGTAGGAGAGACTTCTCCCTAAGGCATTCAATGAGGCCAGCATTATCCTGATGCCAAAATCTGGCAGAGATAACAAAAAAGAAAACATCAGACGAACATGCTTGAACATAAATGCAAAAATTCTCAGCAAAATATTGACACACCGAATCCAGTAGCACGTCCAGAAGCTTATCCACCATGATCAAGGAGGCTTCATATCTGGGATGCAAGGTTGGTTCAACATAAGCAAATCAATATATGTGATTAATTACATAAACAGTACTAAAAACAAAAAAGAAAGACACAATTATCTCAGTAGATGTAGAAAAGACTTTTGATAAAATTCAACATCCATTCATGTTAAAAATCTAAATAAAGATATTGGAAAAACATCTCAAAATAATAAGAACCATCTATGACAAATCCACAGCCAACATTATTCTGAATGGGCAAAAGCTGGATGAATTCTTCTTAAAAACCAGCACAAGGAACGAATGCCCTCTTTCACCACTATTAGTAAACATAGCATTGGAAGTTCTAGCCAAAACAATTAGACAAGAGAAAGAAATAAAGGGCATCCAAAAAGGAAGAGAGAAAGTACAACTATCCCTGTTTGCAGATTACATGATCCTGTATCTAGAAAACCCCATATTCTCAGCTGGAAAGCTTCGTAAGCTGATAAGCAACTTCAGCAAAATCTCAGAATACAAAATCAATATGCAAAAGTTACTACCATTTCTATACTTCAACGACAGCCAAGAGCCAAATTAGAAACAAACTCCCATTCACAATTGCCAGAAAAAAATTAAAATATCTAAGAATACAGCTAGCTATAGAGGTGAAATATCTCCACAAATAGAACTACAAACCACTGCTCAAAAAAAGTCAGAGATGACACAAACAAATGGAAAAACATTCCATGCTCATGGATGGAAAAAATCAATATTTTTTAAATGGCCATACTACTCAAAGCAATTTATAGAGTCAATGCTATTCCTATTAAATCACCATTAACATTCTTCACAGAAACAAAGAAAACTATTTTAAAATTCATATAAAACCAAAAAGAGCCTCAATGGCCAAGGCAACTGTAAGTAAAAAGAAAAAAATAAAAAACCAAGCTGGAGGCATCACTGTACCTGACTTGAAACTACTATATAGGGCTACAGTAACCCAAACAAATGGGACTCGTACAAAAACAGACAGATAGACCAATGGAACAGATTAGAGTACCTAGAAATAAGAAGAACATGAACCTACAACTAACTCATCATTGACAAACCAGACAAAAACAAGCAATGGGAAGAGCACTCCCTATGCAATAAATGGTGCTGGTATAACAGGCCAGACATATGCAGGAGATTGAAACTGAAACCCTTCTTTACACCATACAAAAAAATTACATCAAGATGAATTAAAGACTTAAATGTAAAACCCAAAATTATAAAAACCCTGGAAGTCAACCTAGGCAATACCAGTTAGGACATAGGCATGGGCAAAGATTTTATGATGAAGAAGTCAAAAACAATGTCAACAAAAGCAAAAATGGACAAATTGGATCTAATTAAACTAAAGAGCCTATGCACAACATTAAAAAAACTATCAACAAAGTAAACAGACACCCTACAGAATGGGAGAAATTTTTGCAAACTATGCATCCAACGAAGGTCTGATATCCAGCATCTATAAGGAACTTAATGAATTTACAAGAAAAATACAAACAACCCTACAAAAAAGTGGGCAAAAAAACATGAACAGCACTTTTCAAAACAAGGCATATATGTTGACACCAATAATTTTTTAAAAGCTCAACATCACTGATTATTAGAGAAATGCAAATCCAAACCACAGTGAGATACCATCTAACACCAATCACAAAGAATATTATTCAAAAGTTAAAAAGTAACAGATGTGAAGGTTGTGAAGAAAAAGGAACACTTACACACTGTAGGTGGGAGTGCAAATTAGTTCAGCCATGGTGGAAGACAGTGTGGTCATTCCTCAAAGGCCTAAAGACAGGAATCCAAAATCCTTGGATTTTGACCCCAAAATCCCATTACTGGGTATATACCCAAAGGAATATAAATCTTTTTATTATAAAGAAACATGTATGCATATGTTTTATAAAGAAACATGTATGCATATGTTTTTTGCAGCACTATTCACAAGAGCAAAGACATGAAATCATCCTTAAATAACCATAAATGATAGACTAGATAAAGAAAATATGGTACATATACATCATAGAATACTCTGCAGTCATAAAAAGAATGAGATCTTGTCCTTTGCTGGGACACAGATGGAGTTGGAGGACATTATCCTTAGCAAACTAACACAGAAACAGAAGACCAAATACAGTATGTTCTTGCTAATAAGTGGGAGATAAATGATAAGAACACATGGACTCATAGAGGGAAACAGCACACACACTGTTGTCTTCCAGAGGGTGGGAGAAGGGAGAGGATCAGGAAAAATAACTAATGGGCACTAGACTGAATACCTGGTTGATGAAATAAACTGTACAACAAACCTTATGACACAAGCTTTTGTATGTAAAAAAAAAACCCTGAGTTTGTAACACTAAACCTAAAATAAAAGCTAAAAATCAAAGGAAAACAGCACAGTAATGTAAAAGAAGAACAAATGGCACATGACCATCTCAATTGTTACAGACAAAGAAATTTTGAAAATTTAATACCTTCTCATGATAAAAACACTTAAAAATAGTAATAAAAGGAAACTACCTCAATATAATAAAGACCGTATGTGAAAAGCCTACAGTTAAAATCACACATAATGGTGAAAACCTGAATTCCTTCTAAGAGTAAGAAAAAGACAAGAATGTCTGCTGTCTTAGTTTATTCTGTGCTGCCATAACAGAAGACCCGAGAATGGGTAATTTATAAATAATAGAAATTTATTTTCTCACAGTTCAGAATGCTAGGAAGTCCAAAAATAGAATGCCAACATCTGGTAAGAGCCTTCTTGCTGTGTCATCATATGGTGGAAGACATCACATGGCAGAACGAAAAAGAGAGAGACAGCAAGCGGGGATCAAACTTGGCCTTTTATAAGAAACTTACTTCCTTGATAATAAAGCCTCCTCCACAATAACAGAATTGACCCCTTCATGATAGTGGTGCTCCCATGATTCAAACACCTCCAATTATGCCCCACCTCCCAACATCATCAAATTGGGGATCAAGTTTCCAACACATGAACTTTGGGGGACACAGTCAAACCATATCACCTGTTTTTGCACTTCTATTCAACATAGTACTGAAAGCTTGCCAGAGCACTTAGGCAAGAAAAAAAAGGCATTCCTATGGGATAGAAAGAAGTAAAATTATCTTAAATAACAGAAGATATGATATGATCTAATATGTGATCTAATGTGTAGAAATCCCTAAATATTTTACACACACACACACACACACACACACTTGTTAGAACAAATAAAAAATCAAACAGTTTCAGAATACAAAGTCAACGCCCCCAAATCAGATGCATTTCTATGCACTAACAGCAAACAATCTGAAAAGGAAATTCTACTTACAATAATCTTTAAAAAGTATTAGAAATATGTTTAACCAGTGAGGTGAAATATTTGAGCACTGAAAACCATTAAATATTGCTGAAAGAAACGAATAAGACAGTAGTACATGGAAAGTTATCCAGTATTCGTGAATTGCTATACCTAGTATTATTAAGATGCTTATACTGCCCAAAGCGATCTACAGATTTAACGCAATTGCTATCAACATTCCAAAATTTTTTTGCTTAAGTAGAAAAGTTTATACTCAAATTCATATGGAATCACAAGGGACACAAAAAGGCAGAAAAAAAAAATCTATCTGATAGAGGAAACCAACGTCGTAGTACTCACACTTTCTTATGTCAAATTTTACTAAAAGGTTACGGAAATCAAAATACCTTGATACTGGGATGAAGAGTGACAAATTGTTGAATTGAATAAAATAGGGGCCCCCAAATGTGGTCTCACATGTGGTCAAATAATTTTCATCAAGGGTGCCAGTGCCATTCCTTGGTGAAATAGTATTTAACAAATTATATTGGGAAAGCTGAATATCCACATGCAAAACAATGAAGTTGGACCCTTATCTTACAGCCTACACAAAAATTAACTCAAATGAATAAAAGACCTAAATATGAGAACTATAACTATGAAACTTGTAGAAAGAGAAATAGGGGAAAATTTCCTTACCTTGCATTAGGCAATGTTTTCTTGGGTATGACACCAAGAGCACAGGCGGCAAAATTAAAAAAACAGATAGATTGGACTATATCAAAACTAAAATCTGTGCCTCAAAAGACACAATCAGCAAAGTAAAAATGTGAGCTGCACAATGGGAAAAGTATTTGCAAGTCGTATATCTGATAAGGGGTTGCATTAGGCTGCACATGCTCTTATAAGAAAATACCATAGACTGGATACCTCAAACAACAGAAATTTATTTTTTCACACTTGGAGCTACAATTCCCAGATTAAGGATTGGAAAGATTATTTTATATTGAGGGCTCTCTTCCTGGCTTGCAGACAGCCAACTTTCTCTGTTTCTTCACATGATGGAAAGAGCAAGACAGCTGTCTTGTGTCTCATCTTACAGGAAAACTAATCCTGTCAGATCAGGGAACCACCCCATGACCTCATTTAACTTGTACATCCATATAGCCCTTATCTCCAAATATTGTCAAATTAGGAGTTATGACTTCAACATGTGGATTTGGCAGGGACACAATTAACTCCACAGCAGGGGATGATTCATATTCAGAACATATAAAGAACTCCTAAAACTCAATGACAAAAAAGACAACTTGATTAAAAAATGGGCCAAGGGTTTGAATACATATTTCTCCAAAACGGCTAAAAGCACCTGAAATAAATGCTCACCATCATGAATCATTAGGGAAATGCAAATCAATATCACAATGAGATGCACATTATACCCATTAGGATCACAATTATAAAAAGAAAAATACAAAGTTACAAGTGGTAGAAAGGATGTAAATATATAGCGACTCTTCTGCAATGCTGGAGAAAGTGTAAAAGAGTGCAGTTACTGTGGAAATCGGCATGGTGGTTTCTCAAGAAATTAGAAATATAACTGTCATATCATATAACAGTTCCACTCTTGAGTACATACACAAAAGAATTGAAAGCAGGGACTTGAGATATCTGTACATGCATATTCATAGCACCATTACTCACAGTAGCCAAAAAGTGGAAGCAAACTCAATGTTCACTGACAGATGAATGGATAGGAAAAAAAAATGTTGTATATGCACACAATGGAAAAAAGGAAGAAAATTGTGACACATGATATAACATGAACAACTTGAGAAAATTATTCTAAGTTAAATAAATCAGACACAAAAGTACAAATATTGTATGATTTAATTTATATAAGGTACCTAGAGTAGCCAAATACATAAAGGCGGAAAATAGAGTGGTGATTTCCACAAACTGAGAAGGAGGAAAAGGATATCATAGGTTAATGGGTACAGACCTTCAATTTTGCAAAATGCAAAGAGTACTGGAGATGGATGGTGGTGATGTTTGCACAACAAGTTAAATGTATTTAATGTCATTAAAGTGTACAATTTTAAAAAGTTAAATTTAGTTATGATTATCTTAGCTTAATTTTAAAAACGATAAATAAATGTTCAAAGATAAAAAACTTGACACAGTTAATGTTATTTCCTAGTAACATTGAATGAAATAGATCGGGGTAGAATTAGTTAAATATATCTAGAGAACTCACATTACCAGATTGTTTTTACCCAAAGGAGCCATCTGTTCTCAGACTCAAAAATTGTGTCATTGTTAGTTTCTAAGTAATTTTCATACATACATGAATTAAATGCAGAACTTACAAAGACAGGAGCTTATAGTGAACAACTAAATCAATTAAAATGACAGAAGGTACATATTAGGTAGTATTTTTACAACCCAGGGAAGCTATTGAAATAAGAAGATCCAGATGTTAGCAAAAATTGAAGCTTATTTTCTTCAGAAATCCTCAAATTATATCTGATAAGTAATGCTTCACCCAAATTATGACTTAATTTATAAATGGTTATTATTTATGGCTTCTGTATTCTAAAAGAAAGTACACAACTTTGAAGAAAACCTGCTTTCCAGTGGCATTAGAATGACAGCTGTGTATGGTAAAGTTGTGGGAAATGCATATATTTACTTTCAATTTCACACACCAGACTCATTCTGGACAACTTTATCTTAAAAAGCATAAAGGAAAACTCTAAAAGTTAGCTAATTTACTTTTATACTAACACTTTAGATAGAGTGAGAAAATAATAAAAATCACGAAAGACACAAGCACAGCCCATAAATTATTAAATTTATTCAGATTATTTGCATCTCTTTTTAAGTCATAACTTGGCAATCATTAAATGATGCTAAGTAGATTTTCTAAGTGGAATTTCAGTTTAAATAGTTCTAGAATAAAATATGGAAGTTTCAGCATAAAACAATTAGTGTTCTGCACTAAAATATATAAGACTTACAATTACATGCTACTTAAGATCATGTCACATGAGAAGAAATTTGTTGCTGCAATAGTAGTAACTATGATTGGATCAGAACTATACAGAAGCAACAGATGTATTGTGGGGTGTGTAAGAAAATCAAAGGCTTTGTAGCCCGACAAATCTGTCAACAAACTCCATCTCCATAATTTGGGCTAATCTTTCTAAATACAAGTTTTTTCTTGGGTATAGTTTTATTTATATTGATTTAAGAATAAGATTATTATTATAAATTATCTAACACAGTGGCTGGAATATAGGAAGTTCTTAATACATTTTAATGACCATTGTCATTTTTCGTTTAGTCACCGTCATTTTAATGAGGGTTTGGCAAAGCCCAAGAGGGCTGCAGAAAGGACATGTTGAAATCTGACTAATTCTAATTATTTCTTGTGCTTTCCTAGTTTCTACTTCCTGTCCATTTTTGTATTTTAGACTTAGAATTTGTTCTGAGTGGATTGTCATAGCACAATCTCTCTCCTTCACTGTTTAATTTTCAAAGTAGCTTTGTCAATTTCATTCATTCTATGATACTCATAGATTATCAAATTTCTGCCTGGAACTGTACTAAATTTGGAAATATCGAGACATACAAGACAAGTATCCTGAGGCATTTCAATTTACTGAATAACATAGGCAAAACAATTAACTGTTTTAATACTATATCATAGTATACTCGATACTAGAGGGTCATAAAGAAAAAGCATAAATAAAATATATATTCCTCAATATTCTAGGGGAGGGTAAGTCAGAAAATGTTTCTGAGAGGAAATCTTGCTTGAGATGAGTTATGAAGGTTTAGTAACATTTAAGGAGCAGATAATGTTATTTGAAGCAGAAGACAGCAAACTTGGTTTAAAATAACAAGGCAAAGGAAAGCATGGCTCCTTAGAAAAAGTAAAATTATTACTACATCTGGAAAAAAAAGGATTGATAGGGATTAAGACCAGAAAGTTAGACAATGGTTAGAAGAGAAAGAGTCTTTCCTCACTAGTGTAGAGCTTAATCTTTTTTCTGAAGTCAATGGGAAGCCACTGAAGCATTTTAAGTGGGCAAGTGGCATAATCAGATTTCTAATTCAGAAAAAATATCTGTTGTGGTAGTTTGGGAGGTGAGTTGAAAGGGTGAAAATAAAATCAGAAAGAACAGGAAATCATTGCAGTAGCACAGCTGAGGCATCATGAAGGCCTTAACTAAGTGAGTGACAATGGAAGGAAAGACTAGAAGACATATTGAAAAGATATTTAGGAGTATACTTGTTTGCATGTAATTGCTAATTTAATGTGGTAAGTGAGATAGCAAGTGAAATTCCAAGTGACTTAAATGGGTTTCTACTTAAGTGAATCAGATCAAAAATGTAATTATTGACTCATAGAAAGGATGTACTACAAAGAAGAAATACACTTGATTTATGAAGAGTTAATTTTGAAGTGATTTTTAGAAACATAGGTGATACTTTCTCATAGATAGTTGAATGTACAGATAAGAACTTAATTGTCTGAACTGCAGATACAAGTTTAAAGTGATCAGAATATTATATTTTAAATAATAGGTACAAATGAGATTCCCATAAAAACATATAGAATAGTAAACATAGCATAATACTAATACGAAAATTGAATAAGAATAGCAAATAGACATACACATAAACCCACATCAGAAAAAATGAAGAAAAATGATCAAGAGGCCAACATCTCTTAAGAATGAAGATGCAAAGTTCTCAATGTTAGTCAATGGAATCCAACAGCGTATTAAAATAATACAATGTCATTACCAAACACGGATTATTCTAAGAGAGAAAGGGTGCGTCACCATTAGAAAAACATATCAATGTAGTTTACTATATTAAAATAATAAACAAGAAAATAATATAGTACTTACAGAAATCACAAAGCATTGGATTGATATGAAAACCCATTTATGAGTTAAAATAATAAAAACTCCTAGAAAGCCAGGAGTGAAAGGAACTACAATGGAGTCCTATTATCTATAAATGCATGGGTTACTTAGAACTTTCCAGAAAATGGGCAGTAACTTCCAGGTCATTGCCTTGGAAAGGAGTGGTGACTTCTCGGGCATTGCTATTGCATTTGTAAACTCTGATGGCACTGGTGGGAGTATCTTATGCTAATGAGCAATGAGGGCAACTAGGGATCACTTTCATCACCATCCGCTTGTTCCTGCTGGTTTCTTCACCTCATCCTGTCTGGACTAGATCCTGTTCAACCCTAGCAGGGTTGTGACCAGGAAACAAGTCCTGCCTGTCTCCTACCTCATTTCTCACTCAGAGATTAGATACTTCTCTTTAACCTTAAGGGGGCAGTAGAAGAGCAGGGGTCCATCTTCTGGAACTGCTTCTTGATGATTCTATAGGTATAGGCCCTGCCTAGCATTGGAGGAGTTAAAATCTCTGGCACCTAATCTGAGGGGCACGATGGGAGGATATTTTCATTTTCCAGGTCAGATGATTGGATGGGTTGGAAGCCTTGTGTCAGCATCACCTTTATGTGGAATGTAAACGATATAAACCTAGGAGGTTAAATAAGAAAACTACGATTACGAGGAAGAGAAAAATTAATGTTCCTAGGCCCACCCACAGCATACGAGGAAGAGAAAAATTAATATTCCTAAGCCCACCCACAGCATCATGTTATTTATGTGTTCATGAAATAATAACTTTAAGTCTTTTTGGAGTTTATAAGTGTAAGCCACGGTATCTTACTCTTATGCCTATGGGGACTTATAAGAAACCAGTTTAATCTTGGACAGGTGTACCCAGCTAGTGATTCCATGAAATTTAATAGCAGAGAGGATACTTAACAATACCTGATAGTATGGCCCTCCCATTTTGCTTGTAATTGTTCCTCAGGGAATTCTTCTTTTTAAGTTTTTAGTAAGACTAAATTTTTGAGGAGGGGACAATACTGTATTTCTATATTCTTGAAGGTCTTTGTGAACCTAGCCTAAATTGTAAATGGGACATAGTGAGGCATGTCTGACCCCCTTTTTCCTGTTATGGCCCCGGGTAGTTTTCTTAAGTTTCTTTGGGATTCCCTTTGCCCAAGGGAATTAGAGTGAAAATATATATAGCCAATTTAACGTAACCTTCTAGGCCAGACAGGAATGGAAGTGGGCATGCACTCATTAGCCCATAAAATCTTTCTAAGCGATATAAGAATCAAAAACTAAAAGCCAAAAATAAGGTTATATGGCAGGTAAAACTGAGAGCATAGAATCAAACTATACTGTGGGAAAACGCTGTTTCCACGGACATCTAAGACAAAACACTAGCATCAGGCCAGAGCAACAGAACTGGAGGGGAAAAAAGTTACAGGAGCTGATTTTGATGAAAAAGCTAAAGGATAGAGTCATCATGCTATGCCTTTGAAAAGGGAGAAAAAGCTAAAAAGAAGTGAGACACAATAACAGTTAAATTGCTGAGACACAAATCTAAGACATTTTTAAAGAAACCAGTTGTAGCATTAAAAACAAAATTTCCCACAATTTATCAAATCAATACCTTAAGAAAACCCAGTTCCCATAGGTAGATCATTCTCTAGAAAGTCTACTGCAAACCATTTTTCTTCAATCATAGTTAGCTTAATCATGAACAAAATTCTTCCCACAAATTCCCCTTCATAAATCCCATATCATGACCCACACAGACCATCTACAACATACTTGGGCTCCCTATGTGTCTTATTCTACCTTTTTCTTAAATAACCAGTCTTGTTACTTTAGGACAAGAATTTACTGTACAAAATCCCTCTTTATTAAAAAGTCACTCTTTCTTTATATCATTCCTTTGAAAAAAAATACATCTATCCATAACTTACTTAACACCTCTGTTTTCTACTCACTGATTTCTTTATATTTTGAACCTCCCTTTTAATAACTTCTTAATTTGATGAAAATACTCTTTTTCCCAATGAAAAAACACATTGTTTTTGGCACATATTATATAAAGCTAGGGAGCAAGAATCTGAACTGTGCATCAGGCATTGTTCCATAGATTAAAACTGTTTTACAATTATATGATTTAAACTGTAAAGAAGCTCACTATTTAAACCCATTTTAACAACTCTAAACCATACCAAAACATCAGTGGTTTACCTAGGTAAAAATCTTAGAGTTAAATTTTAGAAGACACAATATTCTTTTCAAACTAACAAGTTTAGACTTCTTATTTGTTTAATTGACCAGCACTCTTCTATTTCTAAGCCAATTTGATAGCATGCTAGATACAGCACACATCACACAAAGTAACCTATACTAGACAATTGGATCCAAGTTATTTATAAATTTGGGACCCATCTACCTGGCCAAATTTTGTTTGCCCCAGTAGGTATGAAAGACAAGAAGAGGCAGGGAAGATGATTACATAATATCACATAAGGAAGGGAGAGGGTGAACTTCATTGCTTAAGGGGAGACCCTGGGTTTCCCAAGCAACCAAAGAGCTCACCCAGCAGTGAAGACACTAAAGAAAAATGTTAAAGCGGCCATTTGTATGCCACTTTGAGGAGCTGTTCATCAGGTCAAAGATCCAAGTCTCCTAGTAAACTTACTTGAGCAAGGCAGCTCGTTGGGGCTAGTGGAAGGAAGTTAGCTCTAGTATTGATGGGAAGCTTTTTGAGCTCACTGGGGTTGGTTAGGAAATTCTAATTTCCAGTGGCCCTTTTGCTTATAGTATGCACACTGATTTTGGCCCAGGGGCTGGGATGTTGGGGGCTCTTCTCTGGGCATCCTAGATGCTGATCTCATGACATTTTCTTTCTCAAGATGGGTAATTCTGTGGTGGAAAGGGGCTAAAGCAACTATCAACAAATGCGCTTCTTGGTTGTCTCTCTTTTTCCTGCCTCTATGGTTGTAACTTTAAAGGCTACGTTTAAGAGTTGTCTCACAAGGGGTTGAGGTCCAACTGCTGCTTTTTGTAGCTTTCTCCTAATGTCAGGGACAGATTGAGTAATAAAATGTATACATAGTAGAGCTTGCCATTCTTGAGAGTGTTGGTCTGAATTAGAATATTTTCTGAGTGCCTCAAAGAAATGACCCTGAAAAAGAGCAGGATTTTTGTCTTTTCCCCAAGTTATTTTTCTAACTTCATCATAATTGACTGGCTTAACCACACACATTTATTTTTTCGTTGTTGTTTTTATTTGTTTACTTTTTAATTAATTTTAAGTTCTGGGATACACGTGCAGGATGTGCAAATTTGTTACATAGGTAAACATATGCCATGGTGGTTTGCTGCACTTATCAACCCATCACCTAGGTATTAAGCCCAGCACACATTAGTTACTTTTTCTGAGGTTCTCCCTCCCCGTCCCTCCCAACAACAGGCCCCAGTGTGTGTTGTTCCCCTCCCTGTTTCCATATGTTCTCATTATACAGCTCCCACTTATAAGTGAGAATATTCAGTGTTTGGTTTTCTGTTCCTGCATTAGTTTGCTGAGGATAATGGCTTCCAGCTGCATCCATGTCTATGCAAAGGACATGATCTTGTTCCTTTTTGTGGCTACAGATTACTCCATGGTGTATATGTACCACATTTACTTTATACAGTGTATAACTTTTGGGCATTTGGGTTGATTCCGTATCTTTGCTATTGTGATTAGTGCTGCAATGAACACATGTGTGCATGTATCTTTATAATGAAAAGATTTTTATTCCTTTGGGTATATTCCCAGTAATGCAATTGCTAGTTCTAGGTCTTTGAGGAATCGCCATACTGTCTTCCACAATGGTTGAACTAATGTATATTGCCACTATCAGTGTAAAAGCATTCCCATTTCTCTACAGCCTCGCCAGCATCTGTTGTTTCTTGACTCTTAATAATTGCCATTCTGACTGGTGCGAGATGGTATCTCATTGTGATTTTGATGTGCATTTCTCTAATGATCAATGATGTTTAGCTTTTTATCATATGTTTGTTGGCTACATGAATGTCTTCTTTCGGGAATTGTCTGTTCATGTCCTTTGCCTACTTTTTAAGGAGGTTGTTTGATTTTTCTAAGTTTAAGTTCCTTGTAGAATCTGGATATTAGACTTTTGTCAGATAGATAGATTGTAAAAAATTTCTTCCGTTCTGTAGGTTATCTGTTCACTCTGATGATAGTTTCTTTTGCTGTGCAAAAGCTCTTTAGTTCAGTTAGGTTCCATTTGTCAATTTTTACTTTTGTTGCTGTTTTGACATTTTGGTCATGAAATCTTTGCCTGTGCCAATGTCCTGAATAGTGTTGCCTGGATTTTCTTCCAGGGTTTTTATAGCTTT